>NC_000023.11:81856481-82159511 GCF_000001405.40 Homo sapiens
CAAACTGGGAAGAAAGAAGTGAAGTTGTCACTATTTGCTGAAAACATAATCTTATAGATAGAAAACCCTAAAGATTCTACCAAAAAAAGTCTTAGAACTGATAAATGAGTGCATTGCAGTTGTTGAATACAAAATAAACATGCACACATTTATAATGTTTTTATACATTAACAATTAAGTATCTGAGAAAGAAGTGAGTGGAAAAATTATATTTATAATAGCTTCAAAAAAGATTCTTAGGAACAAATTTATCCAAGGAAGTTAAAGACCTTTAAACTGAAAATGATAAAACCTTGATGAAAGAAACTGATGATGACACAAATAAATTGATAGATATCCTATGTTTATGAATTGAATTGTTATGAATTGAAAACAGATTTTTGAAATATCCGTAATATACAAAATGATTCACAGATTCAATGCAATATCTATCTAATACCCATGGAATTTTAAATAGAAATCTATACAAATTATACAATTCATATGAAGCCACCAAAAATTTCAAATAGCTAAGGCACAAAAAAAAGAACAAAACTTCAGGCATCACACTTCCAAATTTCAAACTACACTATAAAGCTATAGTAATTAAAACAGCATGAAACTTCAACAAAACAGACACATCAGACAATGGAACACAATAGATAAGGACATATATAGACAAACCTTATTTAAGCAATATGATCAAGGCCCACATCTACAAAAATAAATGGTGTTGATAGCATGTACTATTGATATGATGTGATGAAAATGGCACTTTACTTCTGTGATCTTCCTCTCAAAACCTATAAACCCTGTCTAACCATGAGAAAAATACAGTAAAACCTCACACTGAAGGACAACCTACAAAATACTTCATCAACATTTATTAAACTCTCAAGCTAAAAGTAATAAAAGAGGAACTGAGAATCTGACACAGACAAGAGGAGTCTAAGAAGACACAATAACTAAATGTCATATGGTATCTAGATGGTATTCCAGGACACAAAAGGACATCAGATAAAAACAAAGGACAGTCAAACAAAGTATTGACTCTAGATAGTAATAGTGTAATAATATTTATTTGTTAGTTGTTACAAATGTATCATACAAATTTAAGATATTAGCAATAGGGAAAATTGGGTTCGAGGGACATAAAAACCATCTGTACTATTTTTGTGACTTATCTGTAAATCCAAAAATATTCCCAAGTGTTATTTGAAAACATAATAGACAGCATAGCTCAGATTCTTTACAGCTACAGTTTGGGATGAATATTTATTTCTGCTAATTAAATTTATTTATGTGTGATTTGGAAGGCTGAAGAGAGATAGAAGCCTTCTCATTACTGCTGAAGAACAGTTGTGGAGGTGTTATTTCGTCAGATGATAATGGTACTGCTGGTGGTGGCAGTCACCTAATCTTACTTCTCTGTGTTCTCTGGAGTATAGCAAAAGTAAGGTATCGGTGAACAATTTCAGTGCAGGTTACCTCGATCCTCACCTGTCTGATTATGACAGAAGTAACGGGTTAGCTATCTGGTAATTAGGTTTTCTGACATTGTTCTGGGTGTAGTTCCTGAAGTTCCAGTGGTTACCTAAGCATCAAGCCCTTCCAAAAATATATTAAGCACCTAGTTTCTTGTATTAAATATCTTTCAGCTGAAAATATCTCAATATTTTTCTTTTTTCTGTACCGGAAACTTGAGTGATACAGGGTGTATTATAGTTGAAAAAGCAGTTGGTGGTTTCACCTGCTGCATACATCTTCCCTGAAGAATAGGCAGCTTCTTTAGGTAATGGAATTTAAGGAGTGCTTGGAATAATCCTCTGTCTGATAAAATAGATTCCCTATGCATGATGAAGTGCCTGAAATTCTACCATTAGAGTTTCTTATTATTTTTAGTTCCATTGTGACCACTTAGTACATAAGTATTTTAGCTGCAATTTAGTAACATATTAGTCAGGATTAGTTAAGAGCTTCGAAAGAGCAATTTCATTGAAGAGCACCTTCAGAAATAAAAATGTCATGAAAGGTAGATGGATACTGAAGTGGAAGGCTGAATGCTATAAGGACCAACTTGCCCCCTTACAATTTCATTGAAAGGTAGTTCACCTAACATTTAAAGTATGAATTAGAAATCAAGTGCATTCCCCATATAGCTGCATGATTTAGTATTCTAGGCCTCACTGAGAATGCTAATACAACAAAGAAATAGGAGAAAAATGTGAGATGAAGTTGCATAGAATATATACCTAATACTTAGTGCTAATCTTCAAAAACACACATTTTTCATGACCATTCCTCTCCTTTTTAGGCATATTGTGATGGTTAAGTGAAATAAAATAATCTTTAAACTGATTTCAATATCAAAATGTGACTCTTATTGACAAATTTTTTTTCAAGGTATTTTTCATAATATGCGCAATTCAGTATATGTTTATTGTATAACTACAAAATGCCAGTGCTAAGTGTTAGGGATATCAAAATAAATTAGACATGGCCCTTGTTCTTTATGTTAAAGAGACAGGCATATGGACCACCAACTTAAATAGACTAACAAGCAAGCAAGAAGTGTGTGAACTATTTTTTATAAGGATTGCAGGCTCTGCACAATCTAAATTTCTTTCTTTTTCTTTTCTTTTCTTTTCTTTTGTTTTGTTTTGAAACAAAAAATGAGTCTCTATCACACAGGCTGGAGTCCAGTGGCAACTGCAACCTCTGCCTCCCTGGTTTAAGTGATTCTCATGCCTCAGACTCCCAATTAGCTAGGATTACAGGCATGTGTCATGACACCCGGTTAATTTTTGTATTTTTAGCAGAGATGGGGTTTCACCATGTTAGCCAAGCTAGTCTCGAACTCTTGGCCTCAAGTGATCCACTGGCCTCAGCCTCCCAAAGTGCTGGGATTACAGGTGTCAGCCACTGTGTCCGGCCTAACCTAGATTTCTTATAGTTCTCTGATTTGATTTCCTCTATTATGATTCTCATTTCATTCTCCAAGATACAGACTTTCTGCACCTCTTGATGTTCCTTGAAACTGAGAAGCCTATTCTCACTTCAATCTTTTTGGATTTGTTATTTCCTATATAGAAAATGTTCTCCTTTTTTACTTCATTTGGCTGGTTCAAAAAATATAACTTACTCAGAGAATCCTTTCTTGATTATGCTATAAAAAACTCTGCCATTCTCATCAGTCTTTTTCCTTCATCCTCTTTCATTTATACTTGATAATGCTTATCAATAATGGGCGTTTATTTTATATGCTTTAATTTTATAAATTAAATTTGTTCTAGGAAAATTTTTTTTAATTTTTAATTTTTAACTATTATATGTACATAATAGATGTTTATATTTATGGGACACAGGTGATGTTTTGATACAGACATACAGTGTGTAATAATCAAATCAGGATAATTGGGATATCCATCATCTCAAGCATTTATTATTTCTTTATGTTAGAAATATTCTAATTTTACTTTTTAGTTATTTTTACATTTGCAATTAATTATTGTTGACTATAGTTACCCTGTTGTGCTTGCAACTACTAGACCTTAATCATTCTATATAACTATATTTTTGCACCCATTAATAACATACAATTCCCCCCCGTAATGTTCCAAGCCTCTGAAAACTGGAATTCTATTTTCTATCTCCATGAGTTCAATTGTTTTAATTTTATCCTAGAATACTATATACAGTGAAAATATCCTGCAATCTATAAATATGAGAAATAAAGTCTTTCCCAGAAAAATAAAATCTTACGGATTTTGTCAACACCAGGCCTGTCCTAGAAGAAATGCCAAAGGGAGATCTTCAATCTGAAAGAAAAGGTCGTCAGCAAGCAATATGAAATCATTTGAAGGTATAAAGCTTACTGGTAAAACTAAGTAAAAAGACAAATACAGAATAACACTGTAATTGTGTGTAACCCACTAATATTTTGAGTAGAAAGACTAAAAGACAAACGTATCAAAAATAATAGCTACAAAAACATTTTAAATGCTAGAAAGTAAAATAGAAATAAGACACCAAAAAAAGTTAAAATACGAGGGAGTGAGTTTAAAGGTAGAGGGTTTTTTTAAATTTTCTTTTCAATGGTTTGCTTGTTTGTTGTTGATGTTTTTATCAGAGTTCAGTTGTAATCAGTTTAAAATAATTGATTATAAGATGTTATTTTAAAGCCTCATGGTAACCTCAAATCAAAACACCTAAAAAAGATACACACAAAAAAAGCAAAACAATTAAAACATACTACCAGAGAAAATCACTTTTACACAATGGAATACAGGTATGAAGAAAGGAAGAGATTACTACAAAACAATCTGGAAAGAAATGACAAAATAGAAATAATCAGTATTTTTGTATGAGTAATAGCATTGAATTAAAATAGACCACATTTTGCAATCAAAAGATATTGAGTGGCTTAATGGATTAAAAAGACACATGACCCAAATATATGCTGCCTATAATAAACTCATTTCACCTATAAAGACATACATAGAATAAAAAGGGGATGATTAAAGATATTCGATGCAAATGGAAACCAAAAAGGAATAAGACTGGCTACAGTTGTAAGAGGTAAAATATATTTAAAGACACAAATAAACAAACTAAATCATTATAAAATATGAAACAGCAAAAACATACACATAGACCAACAGAACAGAATAGAGACCCCTGAAATAAAGCTGCACAACTACAACCAACTAATGTTCTACAAAGTTTACAAAAATAAACAATAGGAAAAGAATATCTTATTAAGTAAATGTTGCTAGAAAAACTATCTATATGGAGAAGAATAAAATTGGACCTTGACCTCTCACTATATATAAAAATTAACTCAAGATGGATTAAAGCCTTAAATATAAGACCTCCAGCTATAAAAATCCTAGAAGAAAACCTAAAAAACAGCCTTCTAGTCATAGGCCTAAGCAAAAATTTTATGGCAAAGATGCCAAAAGCAATTGCAACAAAAAAAAATTGATAAGTGGGACCTAATTAAACTAAAGAGCTTCTATGCAGCAATATAAACTATCAGCAATTTAAAGAAACAACCTACAGAATGGCAGAAAATGTTTGGAAACTATCCATCCAACAAAGGTATAATATCCAGACTCTATGAGGAACAAACTAATAATCAACAAGAAAACAATCCCATAAAAAAGTGGGCAGAGGACATGAACAGACATTTTTCAAAAGAAGACATGCATAACAAGCCAACAAGGCATGTGAAAAAATGTTCAATATGACTAATAACTAGAGAAATGCAAAACAAATCTGCAATGAGATACCATCTCATACGAGTCAGAATGGCTATTATTAAAAAGTCAAAAATTAACAGATGCAGGTAAGGTTGTAGAGAAAAGAGAATGCTGATGGGGATGTAAATTAGTTTAGCTATTGTGGAAAGCAGTGCAATGATTTCTCAAATAACTCAAAGCAGAATTAACTTTCTACTGAGAAATTCCATTACTGGGTATATAGTCAAAGGAATATAAATTGTTCTACCATAAAGATGCATGCACTTTTATATTCATCTCAGTACTATTCTCAATAGCAAAGACATGGAATCTACTTAAATGTCCATCAATGGTAGACTGGATAAAGAAAGTGTGGTACATATCCACCATGGAATACTATGCAGCCATAAAAAGAATGAGATTATGTCCCATGTGGCAAAACATGGATGAAGCTGGAGGTCATTATCCTAAGTAAACTAATACAGAAATAGAAAACCAAATACTGCATGTTCTCACTTATCAGTGGGAGCTAAACACTGAGTACACATGGAAACAAGGAAGTGAACAGATACCTGGGTGTACTTGAGGGTGGAGGTCGGGAGGAGAGAGAGGATTGAGAAACTAGCTATTGAGTATGATACTTATTACCTTGCAACTAATATGTATACTAAATCCCCAGGACAAAAGAATTTATCTATATCACAAACCTGCACTTGTATGCCTGAAACTAAAATAAAAGTTTAAAAAAAAAGAGAAAAATTACAAATTAGGGATGATGTTTTCTACTTGGGCAAAGGGATCCTTAGAAGCACAAACCTCAGCACCTTGCAATATACTCTTGTAACAAACTTGCACATATATACCCTGAATCTACCACAAAAAACATCACTTGGCATAAACAAGTAGGATTAATTTCAGGGATGCAGGAATGCTTCAACATATGCAAATCAATAAGTGTGATACATTATATCAGTAGAATTAAGAAGAAAATCATGTGATCATTTAAATTCATGCCTAAAAATATTTTATAAAATTCAACACTTCTTTATAATAAAAACTCTCAAAATATTAGGCATAAAATAAACAGACATTAATACAATAAAAGCAATATGACAGACTCACAGTTTGCTATCTTACCAAAGATTTAAAAAACGCTGAAACCCTTTCTCTTAAGATCTGGAACAAGATAAGATTGCTCACTTTTACCATTGTTATTATAGCTATAATGAGAAGTCCTAGAGAATGCAGTTAGATAAAAGAAAGAAGTGCATACACACTGGAATATTAGTCATAAAATTATTCCTGTTTTCAGATGATATAATCTTATGTCTAGATGAACCTAAAGTCTCCACCAAAAAACTTTTAGAACTAACAAGCAAATTCAGTAGAGTTGCAGAGTAAACAATCAACATACAAAAATTACTATTATTTCTGGAAGCCATTAGCAAACAACCTGAAAAATAAATCAAGAAAGTAATCCCATTTACAATAGCTACAAATTAAATGAATTACCTAGGAATAAACTTAACTGAAGTAAAAGATCTCTACAATGAAAACTGTAAAACATGGATGACACATATTGGGAAAGATATAAAAATATATTTTTTTCTGTTCATGTATTGAAAGTATAAATATTGTTAACATGTTGATGCTACTCAAATCTATCTACAGATTCAATGCAATTCTTATCAAAATACTAATAATAGAGTATTTAGGGTTTTCTAGGTATAATTATATTATCAGTGAACAGACAATTTGGCTTCCTCTTTTCCATTTTGGATGCCTTTTATTTTATTTCTGTCACCTAGTTGCCACGACGAGGACTTCCAGTAATATGCTGAATATGAATTGTAAAAGTAGGCATCCTTGTTTTGTTCCACTTCTTAGAGAAAAGTGGGACAAAATAATATGTATACATATAGTATATATATTATATATATAGAGAGTGTATATATTATATATATAGAGAGAATATATATATAGTAACCAAAAAGAATGTATATATCGTATGTATCGTATATATATTGTGTATATATTATATACATATTATACTGGTATTATACCAGTACCATTCTGTTTTGGTTACTATATATACACTATATATAGTGTTTATGTACATATACTCTCTCTATATATAGTGTGTGTGTATATATATATAGTCTATATATATATATATAGTATATATATACATATACACTATATATATATGTGTGTGTGTGTATATATATATGGGCCAGAATAAAGACTCCAGAAAAAAAGACACATATCTACAGCCAACGAATTAACTAATCTTTGTCAAAATCAACAAGAACATACACTGGGGAAAGAACACTGTTTTTAATAAATAGTGCTTTGAAAATTGGATTACCATATGCAAAAGAATAAAATTGGATCACTGTCTCCTACCATATACAAAAATAATCTAAAAATGAGTTAAAGACTTGAATGTATGATCTGAAAGCATAAAAATCCCGGAAGAAAACCTAGGGAACATTCTTGAAGCCATTGGTCTAGGCAAACAATTCATGACTAAGACCTCTAAAACAGAGGCATCAAAAACAAAAATAGACAAATTGGGCTTAAATTAAAAAAAAAACTTCTGGACAGGAAAAAATAATCAACAGAGTAAACAGACAACCTCTGGAGTGGGAGAAAATACACAAAAACAATACATGGTTATTAAAAATTACTCAACATCACTAAGCATCAGAGAAATGTTAGTTAAAACAACAATGAGATATCATTTTACACCAGTCAGGTTACTTAGTATTAAAAAAAACATAACATGTGGATGAGTATGCAGAAAAAATTGAACTTTTACACACGGCTTCTTGGACATCTGTTTGTCTTCTGAAAAATGTAAATCATATTCTTAGCCCACAGAATGAAAGAAAATTGTATTAGTTAATTATTACACTGCTAATAAAGACATAGCAAGACTGGGTAATTTATAAAAGAAAGAGGTTTAATTGACTCACAATTCAGCAAGGCTGGGGAGGCTTCAGGGAAGTTATAATCATGGCAGAAGGGGAAGCAAACACGTCCTTCTTCATATGGTGGCAGGAAAGAGGAGTGCAGAGTGAAGTGGTGGGAAGCTCCTTATGAAACCATCAGATCTTGTGAGAATATACCCACTATCACAAGAATAGCATAGGGAAAACTGCCCCCATTATTCAAGTACCTTCCACCAGGTCTTTTCCATGACGTGGGGATTATGAAACTACAATTCAAGGTGAGATTTGGATGGGGACACAACCAAACCATATCATTCCTCCCTGGCCACTCCCAAATCTCATTTCCTCACATTTGAAAACACAACGATGCCTTTCCAACAGTCTCCCAAAGTCTTAACTCATTCCAGCATCAACCCAAAATTTCAAGTCCAAGGTCTCATCTCAAACAAGGCAAGTTTCTTCTGCCTATGAACCTGCAAAATCAAAACCAAGTTAGTTACTTCCTGGATACAATGGGGGTACAGGCATTGGGTAAATACATTAGCTTTAAATGGGAGAAATTTGCCAAAACAAAGGGATCACAGACCCCATGCAAGTCTGAAACCTAACGAGGCAGTCATTAAACCTTAAAATTCCACAATGATCTCCTTTGACCCCATGTTTCATATCCAGGTCACACTGATGCAAGAGGTAGGCTCCTACAGCCTTGGGCAGCTCCATCCCTGTGGCTTTGCAGGAAAAACCCTCCTCCTGGCAGCTTTCACAGGTTGTCATTGAGTGTCGGTGGCTTTTCTAGATGAACAGTGCAAGCTGTCAGTGGATCTACCATTCTGGGTTCTGGAGGATGGTGGCCCTCTTCTCACAGCTCCACTAGGTAGTGCTCAAGTGGGGACTCTACATAGGGCCTCTGACCCCACATTTCACTTCTGCACTTCCCTAGCAGAGGTTCCCCATGAAGGCTTCATCCCTGCAACAATCTTCTGCATGGAAATCCAGGCCTTTTTATACATCCTCTGAAATCTAGTTGGAGTTTCCCAAACCTCAATTGTGGACTTCTGTGCGCTTGCAAGCTCAACACTACATGGAAGTTGCCAGTGCTTGGGTCTTGAATCCTCTGAAGCAATGGCCTGAACTCTATGTTGGCTTCTTTTAGCTACAGCTTTAGTAGCTGGGATGCAAGGCCCCAGGTCCCAAGCCTGCACACAGCAGAGAAGCCCTGGACCCAGCCCAGAAAACCATTTTTTTCTCCTAGGCCTCTGGGCCTGTTATGGGAGGGGCTGCTGTTAAAGTCTCTGACTGCCCCCAGAGACATTTTCCCTATTGTCTTGGTGTTTAACATTTGACTCCTTGTTACTTATGCAAATTTCTGCAGCAGGCTTTATTTTCTCCCCAGAAGATGGGCTTTTCTTTTCTGTTGCATTGTCAGGCTGCAAATTTTTCAAACTTTTATGCTCTGCTTCCTCTTGAAAGCTTTGCTGCTTAGAACTTTCTTTTGTCAGATAGTCTCAATCATCTCTCCCAAGTTCAAAGTTCCATGGATCTCTAGGCAGGGGCAAAATGCCACCAGTCTCTTTGCATTGAAAGAGTGCCCTTTACTCCAGTTCTCAACAAGTTCCTAATCTCCATCTGAGACCACCTCAGCCCGGACTTTATTTTCTGTATCACTCTCAACATTTCAGTCAAAGCTGTTTAACAAGTCTTTAGCAAGCTCCAGACTTTTCCACATCTTCCTATCTTCTAGGCCTCCAAGTCTCCAAGAAATTCCAAACTTTCCCACATTTTTCCATCTTCTTCTGAGCCTTCCAAACTGTTCCAACCTGTGCCTGTTACCCAGTTTCAAAGTTGCTTCCGCATTTTTGGGTATCTTTACAGCAACGCCCCACTACCCAGTACCATTTTACTGTATTAGTCCATTCTCATGGTGCTAATAAAGACATACATGACATTGGCTAATTTATAAAGAGGTTTAATTGACTCAAAGTTCTGCAGGGCTGGAGAGGCCTCAGGAAACTTATAATCATGGTGGAAGGGAAAGCAAACATTTCCTTCTTCACATGATGCAGGAATGAGAAGTACAGAGCAAAGGGGGGGAAGCCCCTTATAAAACCATCAGCTCTCATAAAAACTAACTCACTATCATGAGAATGGCCATACAAGGTCTTTGGGGTGTCACTTTTCTGGCAAGAAACCTGTGGCCAGTTGCACCTTTGCCTGAGTCTTGCTAGAGCCCACTGGGCTTGTTCCACCCACTTGGCCTGACAGGCTGTGCTCAGTTCACACTACCGACCTGCATCTGACACCTCCAAGGGAGACTGTAAGTCAGGCATGGAGTGGTGAGGGGTGTGTGAGTAAGTGTGGTGTCGGGGCAGTACAGTCAGACACACCGGCTGCTGCCATGGGGTGGGCAGCCCCAGGTGCTGGCATGGGTGCCAGCTCTTTGTGAGGCTGCAGCTGGACCAGGTGCATGACAAGCAGAATCCCTGGCTGGCACCAGGGAAGGCAGTGGTGCCTAAAAGCTTGGAGACACCAGTAACTGCAGGGCCCCAAAGAGAAAGTCACAGCCCTGGCTTGGGGAGCTCCCAGGTTTGGGTTTCTCATAGGGCCACAGGTCTTCTCTCCTTCTCTTCACCTGCAATGTGGCAAGCAAGGGACATGTTTTAGCCCTGTTTGTGTTACAGCTCTTTTAGCCTCACCATTTAGTGGGTCCTGAGTTCTTGTCCTGTGACCAGGAAGAATGAGTGATATGGTTGGCTAAGTCCCTACCCAAATCTCACCTTGAATTATAACTCCCATAATTTTCACATGTTGTGGGAGGGACCTGGTGAGAGATAATTAAATCAATGGGATGGTTTTCTCCAATCTGTTCTCATGATAGTGAAAAAGTCTCACAAGATCTGATGGTTTTATAAGGGGAAACCCTTTTCACTCGGCTCTCATTATCTCTTGCCTGTCACCATGTAAGATGTGCCTTTCACCTTTCACCATGCTTGTGAGCCCTCCCCGGCCACATGAAAGAGTAAGTTCATTATACCTCTTTTTCTTTACCAATCACCCAGTCTCATATATGTCTTTATCAGCAGTGTGAAAGCAAACTAATACAATGAGGTATGTGGAAAAGTAGAGGGTAAGCAAGACAAAGAGGAGCTTTATTGAACAATAGAACAACTCAGAGAAGACCCAAAGTGGGCAGCTCCTCTCTGTAGCCAGGGTATCCCAACAAGTTTTCAGCTCCTAGCAGAGAGAGTAGCTCATCGTTGCAGGCAGGTCATTCCAACAAGTGTTCAGTTCTCAGCAGAGAGGAAACTCCTCTCTGCTGCTGATCATCCTAAAAAGTGTTCAGCTATCAGTAAAAAGGGTAGCTTCTCTCTACAGCTAGTTGTTCCATCATCTGCAGCTCTTTGCATAGAGTAGGCCCTGGAGTGGGTGGCTCCTCTCTGCAGGCAGGTTGTCCCATTGTCTCTACATCTCTCAGCAAAGAGGGTAGCTCCTCTCTGCAGCTGGTCATCCCATCATCTCTCCAACCTCTGCTCTAATCTGGCTGGGCCCAGGGTTTTATGAACCACAGAGGAGAGAAAGTGTATGCCAACTGGTCCATGAGCAGCCATGGGCAGGCCCAGAAAAGGCACCACAAGCCCCCACTCTGCTTCATGGGACTGGCAGCCAGGCCTCCAGCCTCCAGGCTTTCCCTGGCCTGAAGGTGGGGCCTCACTGGGGACAAGTACCCTTCCACCCAGGATCACATCTGCTTCCTGCTGCCATCCATGGTGCCCAGGCTGCTTATACCAGGGGGCACCTGCAGGCCAGTGCTGAGCTGTTCTCAGCCCCCCACTTGGCCTATTTCCCATTCTTGTTGGCACCCAACATCCAGACTGGGCTGAGGCAGCAGGAGGCTGGTGTGTCAGCACTGTCCCAAATGTGTGAACCCCTGGCAGGGCTGTGACATCAACCAGGCTCAGCTCCACATTGCTCTGAGATAGGAGTGGGCACTGACAGTGGGGAGAAGCCAGGTAGCTGGAGCAGGAACTTCTGAGCCTGCAAGGGTGGCAGGGGACTTTCTGGGCCCCCGAGAGTGCAGAAAGTCCCGGGTGCACAGCCCCAACTTGGGTGGCTGAACCTGCACCCAAGGATAATAAGGATCCTGCCTGTTTCTTGCTCCCAAGAGCACAGAGAGGCCCAGGTCTACAGCCCCCACTTGGGCAGTTGGAGCCACACCCAGGACCCAGCCTCAGAGGGGCTGGGGCTTGCTCCTGGCTCCCACTTGCACTGTTGAGTGTGTGTCTCTGGCCACAGCCCCTCACAGCCTGAGACAGGGACTCCAGGTCGTTGCTGGGTCCAAGCCAGCGTCCAGGGCAGAGGCAACATTACCATGAGCTACCCTCATGGTCCCAGGGCTAAGTAGTGGCCCAGGGCTCCCTCTCACCTGGCTTGCTGCCCTGCCTAAGGGGCACTACAGGAGCAGATCATGGGCCCCGGGCCTGACCATTGGGAGTGTCAGCCCCAGCAATCACCCCAATCTGTGGCAGACCCCAGGGGCATGGCCCAAGGAGGCCCTGCACAGAGCCTCCTTCTAAGGCGCAGGAACCCAGCACCCTTGACGAAGTGGGCACAGTGACCGAGCCACTGGCCAGGTCTCCAAAGTGGGCACCACTCTCACTTTCAGCCCTGGAGTCCCAAAGCATAGCCCCAGTTTTGCACCCCAGGCCCAGCCCCCATGCTCTGTGTACAAGCATGGCAATACCCTGGCCCAGCTCCACCTTGGGGCACCTCTCTACTTAACGACTCAGCTTCCCTGCTGGTAGGTGACTTGGCTTGGCCCCAACACAATGTCCCCCATGACATAGGGGTCTGGGGACTGTCTGCCTCCTCTCCACACTCTCCCCACAGCAGTGGCAGGCGAGAGCAGTGATGTGGGCCCAGGGTTCAGAGTGACAAAGGCTACAGGCCTGGGGATGGGTCTCATCCACCTGTGCAAGGGTGGGGGCAGCACAGTCAGCTGCATCAGGAACATGGGATACAGGGGATATGGGGCACAGTGGTCTCCTCACTGCCACTGCTGCTTTTGAAGTTGGTCCTGCCACCACCACTCATGCCTCCCCACTGCAGCTGGTGCAGGGCAGTGGCCACTTCAGATGGCCCACCATTGCCATCAATCCCCACTCAGAAGAGGTACATGTAACTGCCATTGGGATAGGAACAATAGCCACTCTTAAATGCTTTATGCTGACAGGGGCATTGTATTTGGGAAAATGGCTGTGGGATCTCTCTCAGAGGCCTAGCTAAGAATCCCTGGTAAAAAGGAAGCCATTGTCTGAGGCTTTTATTGCATGACCACTTGGATTTTCATGGCCCATCCATCTTGTCTCTTCTGAGCTGCAGTCAGATGTTACTGGTTGGTTCACAGGAATATACTTTACTCTCTTGTCAAAAGCTGCAAATAGCTCAAAAGAAAAGCTTCTTTGATGCTGAGAAACAAACAAAATGTTAGCAATTTTCTAAGCAAAAAATTTAAGAAAAGATTACTTCTGTCTTCCATTAGTTTAGTCCACCCAGGAAATTCCTGTTCACAATCTCCAAAGTTATCAGAAACCTACACTCAAGAACTATAATCCATCTTTTGAAGAGGATAAAAACAACGCAATTGTCTGTTAATATCAAAATGTACTAGGGTAGTAACAGTCAAACATGATTGACAAATAAATGTGGTCACCTCTATGGTCTACTATAACCTAACACAATAACCCTAATTATAATTGATAACACATACTCAGACATCAGAATTTTAGATTTACCATTTTGGACCACATATCTACATTTTGAAGACATTTCTATTTTCCCAATAATCTTTATAACTGTTTCTATTTCTCAAAGATTAAAGTCATGTGAACTAAATGGCATTACAGCTTCTATTTTTCTTTAAAAATATTTGATCTAAGCACTTATTTTTCCTTAAGCCAATGAATTAAAGACCTCTTTCATATAAGCATCACAAATATAACACATATCTATCTACACAGATAGAGAGAAGGAGATCTAGTAGTTGTTAAGATTTTTCATGTGCCAAACTCTTAATTGGATTACTGTGCTGGGGGTATAGCTCTTTTTCCAAGGAATCCCAGGCCACTAGAAGTCATCCTGGAGTCCCTCAGGTGTGCATTAAGAGTGGCAAGACAGAAATGGAGACAAATAATTCGGTTGACTAAGAAGAAACACCTTTTTCCAGAAAAACAAGATTCACGAAAAGAAAAGACATAAAGGCCTTTTAAATATACCTATACTTGGATATCCATCTTTAATTAACCTGACTTTTAACCATAGCACTCTCTTCTTAAGAAGTTCTTTTAAATCTATTATTACCCAACCTTAGCCATGCCAAATGGCAAATATTTCTGGCTTCTGCACTCATTATGGAGGGGCAGAGAATGTAGTGCCTTTTACCATTCATGTAACCAGTTGCACAGAGAGAAAGAAGTCAAAAGTCTGACTGGTAAGAACTTTTACCATTTTGTCAGCATGACAGCCTTCTGGGTTCTGTTCCCCTGAGCTACGGAGCCCTGTTGACCCTGGAGTCCTGTGAAGGGGAAAAAGACAAAGAGAACTTGTCCGTCCTCAAGTAATTGCCAAGCAATTACGGTTTGGGAAAATAAAACTCTTCCCAATTTGGAGGATATATCTGAGGGGAGTGTCCTGTGCTATGGAGATGCAAGTACACATCTATGAAGAGAGGACAAAGGAGGAAAAAAGAAAAGTATTTTTTATTTCTTTCTCCAACGTCTGAGCATCAAGTGGGTTCCAGTGATTTTGGATGCACTGGAGAGGAGTGCAGGCTGAAAATGATTGGTTACCCATCTGAAGAGGGGAAAAAGGCATCCCATTGTTCTCTCTCTTCCTAGCAAATACCCATGGTACCTGATGGAGAGAAAAAAAAGACATCCCTTTTTCTCCTGACCTTATATCCCTGAGTCCTGGCAACCTGTGCAGGTGCTGACCATGGGTGCAAGTGCAACCTTCACCCATGAAGTGGGGAGACTTAACTTCAGGAATATTCTCACTTACCTGTGCAGTGCCTAAGCCTCCTGCTGTCAGTAACCTTTGAGTTCCCTATACCTTAACTATGTCATGGATGTGAGCATGACCTCCATCAACAAAGTGGGAGGGCTTAATTGGAAGGAATTGGTCATGCTCACCTGTTCTGTACTCTTTGACTCCTGCTGTGATCTGTCTCAGGTCTAGTGTTCCATTCTAGGTCTTCAAACCAAACCTTGGGACAAAAAGATGCCTCAGGAGTGTGTTTGGACCCATTAAATTAGTCCCAGGTGGCCCTCACCAAATTGAATCTAGGAATTGGTAGGGGCACCTTCTCTATTGCTCCACTATCATAAACTGGTGGAGCTGTGGGACCATATTTTCCTCAAACAAGGGAGGGAAAGGGAGTCCCGGGAATTGGGAACCTGGCCTATTAAGGTGCTTCCCAAAAGAAAAAAAAAAGCTAAACCCCTCACATAGAAAAGCTCTCTATATTCACAGGACTCTGTTGACTTCTAACATGGTGGAGGAAGGAGATCTGAGACACCACTCATGGTCCTGTCAAGAGAGGAGAAC
The DNA here is from genome assembly GCF_000001405.40 of Homo sapiens. Lineage (NCBI taxonomy): Eukaryota > Metazoa > Chordata > Mammalia > Primates > Hominidae > Homo > Homo sapiens. The sequence continues at coordinate 81,872,254 of NC_000023.11, forward strand.
TGAAAGGCCTGCTCTAGATTCCAGGAGGAGGTCCACCCTCTTTTTCTCAACCCACAGAATCACTGGAGTTCCTGGATGGCAATGGTGATCTGAACCACCAGAGCCAGGCAGAGGTGCCATGGGACCTGCCAATCCTGCTGGACCATTTGGGAAACTGGCCCTGGACCCATTGACCCATGTCTCTGTGGACAGTTCGCCCTTCCATGGTCCTCATCGAAAACTGGACAGGGCACAGGTGGCCTCCTCCCATTGTTCAGACAGTCCCTCCTGAAGTGCCCTGACTCACCACATTTGTGGCAGTCAACAGGTGCATCTCAGGGACTCTGGGGCCAGGACCCCATAAGGCAGTTATTAGAGCGTCTGCCTTTTTCTTATATCTCCCCTCCCTTTTCTGGACTTCCTCCCAGCTTCCACTGCAAAACACTAAGGTGGCCACTCCCAAGAGGCCCTCTAAAGTACCATCTGGTCCCACAGCTTGTTTCTGCAGCTTCCTTCTGACATCAGAGGCTGCCTGTGCAATAAACTTATCCCCTAGGACCAGCTGTCCTTTGACCAAGTCAGGAGACAGAGAGGTGTGCTTTGCCAAGGCTCCTCCCAGCGCCACCCCACCTCACCCCAGAAAGGCAGTGAGACTTTTATCCAATTTCTAGTCTATCGTGGATAGCCTAGTAATCAAGAGGCCTAGTTTCAGTGCCTTGCAAGCCCTATAGTATGCACACCTGAAAGTGTTTCTTCCTTCTTTCTCCTATTTCATCATTGGGGTCCTATTTAAGGTCCTCAAATGGCACTGCTACTTTTCCAATCAAGTAAGTCTCATCCCCTTCCCTGGCCCTATATGAGAAACAAAGCTCATCCCCAAAATTATCTGCCATTTGCAGGATGGCCTGCCTTTTATCTGTGGTCAGGGTCTGATTCAAAGGTAACATGACATCCTTATAGGAGAGCTTAAATACTTGGGTTAAGTTCTGGAAAGCCTTTATATACCTGTCAGGGCTGTATGAAAACTTGCCAAAACCTCTCTTAATTTACAGTAAGCCCTGTAGAGAAAAGGGGACCTTAATGGGGCCATAGCCACCTAGCATCTCTTATAGTGGCAGAAGCGAGACTTGCCTAAAATGAGGATTTCTAGGCTGGGGCAAGCTTGAGAGAAAACCTGGGTAAGGAGGAGCTGAGGGGCTTGATTCCCCCGCTGGAGGTACCTCTGGGGTTTGCTTCCCTATTTCCTTGAAATTGCCCCTTGCAGCCTCTCCTGAGATGGCCAATAGAAGGACTGAATCAATCCTACAATGTTGCCAAAGGTCCAGATTACCCTACAAGGTATAGAAGATCTGCACATATGGAACATTGGACCATTTGTCCTCACATTTACAGAAAAGCATCCTTCCTGAGGTCACGGTTCTTTTCTATACCTCAAGTATTAAGTTGGCAACCAAGAAAATTACAATAACATTTTCACCACAAATTTACATAAGATGCCAAGGCACACTTTGCTTCATCTGTGCTACTCTTAACCTTCCATTTTATACTTTTGATGACTAAGCCAAATGCTCATTCTACCCAGTAACATCTCTGGTTTGCAAAAAGATCCTTAACAGTTAACATTGTATATAAAGAAGAGAAAGAAACCATGGCAGTGTGAAAGAAAGAAAAAATAGTAGGAAATACTGGAGGTCCTAGTGCTGACACCCTAACAGGTGGTTGAGGACTAGAGTTAGTCCAGGGGTCTTTGGATAACACTGATGGCTACTCTCAGATACCCTCAGTTGCCCCAGCACCTCCTTCCAGTGTCACATGATGGCTAGACCTCCAAGAAGGGAAACTGAGTTGGAAGAAAGCCAACATTCCCAAAACTCAAGGGTAATGGGGAATTGACAGTGTCCTCATTCCCAACACTCAAGGGTGATGGGGGATTGACACTGTCCTCCCCAGCAAGCCTGTCCTCCATGTCTTAAGTCTGGCAGCTGTGCTAGTCACTTCTACCTGTCTGACAGAGGCCTGGTATTTGTCTTGCATTTTGGCTATTGTGGAGTTTAGGGACTCTGAAAAAAGGACAGAAAGAGTTGATCTGCTTTTACTTACCCTTCCACAGATCCCTAATGAGCCCCCAAGTTGTTACAGGATCTTCAAGGTGTCACTTTTCTGGCCAGAAATCTGTGGCCAGTAGTATCTTTGCCTGAGTTTTGCTCAGGCTTGCTGGGTTCATTCCACCCATTTGGCCTGGCAGGCTGTGCTCAGCTCATGCTATTAGCCTGGATCCCATGCCTCCAAGAGAGACTGTGAGTCAGGCATGGAACAATGAGAGGTATGTAAGCAAGTGTAGGGTCTGGCCACTGCACAGTAAGACACTCCGGCTGATATCACAAGATAGTCAAATCCAGGTGCTGGCGTTCATTCCAGCTATCTGTGGGCCTGTGGCTGGACCAGGTGCACCACAAGCAGGTTCCCCAGCTGGCACCAGGGAATGCAGTGGTGCCCAGAAGCTTGGAGGAACCAGGAATTGCAGGGGCCTAAAGACGGAGTCACAGCCCTGGCTCAGGCAGTTCCAAGGTCTGCACTCCCTGAAGAACCACAGGTCTTCTCTCCTTGTCTTCACCTGCAATGTGGTGAGCAAGGGGCATGTTTCAGCCCTGTTTGTGTTATGGCTCTTTTAGCCTTGCTATTTGGCAGGTCCTGAGTTCTTGTCCTGTGACCAGGAAGAATGAGGTACGCAGAGAAGTGGAGGGTGAGCAAGATGAAGAGGAGCTTTATTGCGCAATAGAACAGCTCAGAGAAGACCTGCAGTGGGCAGATCGTCTCCATAGCTAGGGTGTCCAGTGAGTGTTCAGATCCTAGCAAAGAAGGTAGCTCCTCTCTGCAGGCAGGTAATCCCAACAAGTGTTCAGTTCTTGGCAGAGAGGATAGCTCCTTTCTGCAGCTGATTATTGTCTGCAACTCTCAACAGAGAGGATGACCTAGAATGGGTGGCTCCTCTCTGAAGGCAGGTCATCTCATCGTCTCTGCATCTCTCAGCATAGAGGGTATTTCCTCTCTGCAGCTGGTCATCTGGTCATCTCCCCTTTCTCTGCTCTGCTCTGGCTGAGCCCAGGGCTTTTATGGGCCTGAGAGAGGATGACGTGTGTGTCAATTGGTTTATGGGAAGCCATAGGCAGGCTTTGAAAAAGTACCACAAGCCCTTACTCCAGGCCACAGGACTAGAAGCCCAGCCCTCAGCTTTCAGGCCCTCCCTGGTCTGTAGGTGGGGCCTCACCAGGGGCCCACTCCCTTCTGTCCAGAAGCTCATCTGCTTCCTGACACTGTGCATGGTGCCAAGGCTGCTTATGCCAAGGGGCACCTGCAGGCCATCACTGAGCTGTCCTTTGCCCCCTGTCCAGGCTCCCTCTCACTCTTGTTTTCTCCCAATGTCCAGAGGGGGCTGAAGTGGCAGGGGGCTGGTGTGTCAGCCCTGCCCCAAGCATGTGAACCCCCGGCTGGGCTGTGACAGTGCTCAGGCTAAGCGCTACATTGCTCCAAGTTTGGAGCAGGCATCAACAGCAGAGAGAAGCCAGGTAGCGGGACCAGACACTTCTGAGACTGCAAAGGCAGTGGGGTGCCTTCTGGGCTCCCAAGAGCACAGGGAGGCCCAGGTCCACATCCCTGACTTGGGTGGCCACAGCTGTACCCAGGATGGTGGGGCTGGTGTCTGCTTCCAGCTTCCACCAGCTCCCTGGAGCATGCAGCCACAGCTGTGCCCCCTCATAGCCTGGGGCAGGAGCTCCAGGTCCTTGCTGGGCTAGGGCCACTGTCTGGGGCTGGGCAATGTTGCTGCAAGCTCCCTATCACCCTGGTGCTCAGGGACAGCCAGAACTTCTGCCTTGCCTGGTTCATGGCCCTGCAGGGTGGGCACCTCTGTGAAAAGATCATGGAACCCAGGTCCAGCTATCAGGAGTTTCATGCTTGGTGTTCACCCCAATGTGGGGTGGACCCTGGGGATGTGGCCCTGGCCGGGCTTGCACAGAGCCTCCTCCTGAGGCAAAGAAACCCAGCACCCTTTGTGGGGTGGATGTGGTGACCATGCAACTGGCCAGGTCCCCAAATGGGTGCCACTCCCGCTTCCCAATGCAGGCCGCTGAAAAATGACCCTAGCTCTGCATCCCAAGCCTGACCCCTGCACTCTGTGTTAAAGCACGGCAATGCCGCAGGACCAGCTCCACCTTAGGTCCCTTCTCTGCCCATCTGCACTGACTGTTCCTGCATCACCAGACAACTCAGTCTGGCCCTATTGCAACAACCCTGGGACAGCAGATTCCAGAGATTGTCCACCTCCTTCCCAAGCCTGTCCCGCAGCGGCAGTAGGCAGGAGCAGAGACATGGGTCCCGAGGTCCAGAGCGACAGAGGCTCCGGGCCTGAGGGTGGGTCCTGCTCAGCTGCACAAGGGTCAGGGTGGCACACTTGGCAGCCTTGGGGTTGCTGGGCCTGGGGATGTGGGGCACAAAGATCACCCTGCTGCAACTGCTGCCACCACTGCTCATGCCTCCCCACTGCAGCCGGCATGGTGGCAGTGGCCACTCCAGACGACCTGCTGCTGCCCTCAGTATCATGGGGGAAACTGCCACCATCATTCAGTTACCTCCCACCGGGTCCCTCCCACGACATGTGGGGAATATTGGAACTACAAGATGAGATTGGGGTGGGGACACAGCCAAACCATATATAAGTAGCTCAAACAATTTGATAGGAAAAATCTAATAATCCAATTTTTAAATGGGCAGAAGGTCTGAATAGATATTTCTTAAAAGAAGACATAAAAATGGCAACCAGACATATGAAAAAAATGCTCAACATAATTAATCATTAGAGAAATGCAAATCAAAACTATAATGAGATATTACCTTACTGCAGTTACAATGGCTTTCATCCAAAAGACAGATATTAATGAATTCTGGCAAGAAAGGGGAACCCTTGTATACTGTTAGCGTGAGTGTAAATTAGTACAACCACTATAAAGAATACGATGGAGCTTCCTCAAAAAACTGAAAGTAGAACTACCATTTGATCCAGCAGTCCTACTGCTGGCTATCTACCAAAAAGAAATGAAATCAGTACATCAAAGAGATATCTGCACTCTCATGTTTATTGCAGCACTATTCACAGTAGCCAAGATATAAAATCAACCTAAGTGTCTATCAATGGATTAATGAATAAATAAAATGTGGTACATATACACAATGGAAGATTTTTCAGCTATAAGAAATGAAATCTTACTTTTTGCACCAATGTGGATGGAAGTGGAGGACATTATGCTATGTAAAATGAGCCAGGCACAGAAAGATAAATTTTAAATATATGTTCTCACTAATATGTGGGAACTGAAAATTAAAACAATTGAATTCATAAATATAAAGAGTAGAATGGTGGTTACCAGAGACCGGCAAGGTTAGTGGGTAGAGGGCAAAATGTGGGGATGGTTAACGGGTGCAAAAATATAGTTAGAATAAATAAGAAATAACAGTTGGTAGAAAAACAGAGTGAATATAGTCAACATTAATTTATTTTATATTTAAAAATAACTAAAAATGTTAAATTGGAATGTTTCTAACACAAATACATGATAAATGTTTGAGGAGATGGATACTCCAATTACCCTGATGTGATTATTACACATTGTATATTGTGTCAGAACATCTCATATATCTCATAAATATATACACCTATTATGTAACCTTAATAATTAAGAATAAAAATAATATTAAATAAATCAGCTGTCTTGAATTTTCTGTCTGAAAGGTCACATATCTCTGTCACACTGGGATTTGTCTCTGGTGCCATATTCAGTTTGTTACGTGAGGTCATGTTATTGTGGATGTTCTTGATGTTTGTATATGTTCCTTGATGTCTGGACATTGAAGAGTTACACATTTATTCTAACCTTCACAGTCTGAGCTTCTTTGTACACTCATCCTGCTTGAGAAGGCTTTTCATGTATTCAAAGAGAATTGAGTGTTGTGATCTAAGTCTTTGTTCACTGCAGTTGTATCACCACTGGGATGCATACTAAGCCTAGTAACGCTGAATCTCTTGCAGACTCATACCATCTGGGCACACTTGGGTAAGGTTTGGAAGTGTTCCCTGGATTACCAGGCAGAGTCTCTTGTTTTATTTCCTGACTTTCCTCCAAACTGAAGTAGTCTCTCTTACTGCTGGCCAGCCTGGAGTTGGGGGAGACGTGATGCAAGCACTCCCTTGGCCACCACAACTGGGACTGCACTGGATTACACCTGATCCAGTACAGTGCTGGGTTTTACCAAAGGCCCGAAAAAACTACTGCTTGGCTACCTCTGATGTTTATTCCAAGCCTAAGTGCTCTTTAATTAGCAGGTGCTAAATCCTTTCAAGACTAGGTGTCTTTTCTTCAGGGAAGTGGGTTCCCTTCTGATCCTAGGAGAGTCTTGGAATGCCACCCTAGAGCTATGGCCTGGAATTGCGGGCCTCAGGAATCTGCTTGTTGCTTTATTTTACTGTGCTTGAAATCATATTTAGGTTTTAAGGCAAAGTTTTATTTGCTCTGCCCTCTTCTTTCCCTAGAAGGGAGGAGTCTTTCACCAAGCTGAACTGCCTGCAGTTGCAGCAGGGATGATGTGATTATTCCCTTGGCCACCACAGCAGGTGTCTCATGGGGTCATGGGCACTCCAAGTCCAATGGCTCCGAGTCCAGTGCTGCACCCAGATTTGTGCAAGAATTGCGGTCCTTGTGACCTGGCTGCTTTTCAAATTTATTCGGGACCCTTGAGCACTACTGTTATTGAGCGGTGGAGCTAGCTGAAACTCTGGTTCCTACCACTGGGATGGAGTATTTCCCTCTGGCTGGGGATTGTCTAAGTGCTCTCTTAATGGGGGCTGGTAGAATTCTGCCCTGTGTTATGTACCACCATGACAGGGCAGCACAAAGTTCCAATGAATAGTTCCACAGTCACTTCACTCTCTATTCCCCAAGCCCAAAGATACTCTCCATGCACTCCTGGGAGATAAGGGAGGGGTGATGTAGGCAATGCAGAAGTGTCTTTCCTATTGTCTTCAGAGCCTTGTTTCTTTGATATGATGTTTGCTCACCTGATTTTTGGTTCTTATTTGGTGTTTTGTTGCATAGAGCATTGTTCAATTTTGTTTTCCTATAGTGGGGGATGATTGCTGGAGGGTTCTCTTCAACTACCTTATTCTGCCATCCACTTGATTTCTAAAAATTTACTTGTGTGTCTCTCCAATCAAGTTTAAACTATATTAGGATTAATCTGTGCCTTTTTATTTAACAATAAAGCCACAATACTTAGAATAGTGTCATAAACATAATAAAAATCTAAATATTACAGTTGCAATATGTTTTAGTTACCATAGCATCACAATAAAAGGAATAAGCATTTTTTGTTAGAGGAACTCAAAGAAAGTTTTATAAAGTAAATGACATATAAACTGGATATTTTAAGGAAGGGTAGGAGTTGTTAGACAAAGGTGGGAGTTAAGGAAAAGTGAAAGGTGATCGCAAATGTAGGCAGCATGACAGAATAATTACAGACATAGGTTTGGGAGTGAGACAAATGTGGGTTTGAAGCCTTGCTTTACCACTTAGCAAATGTAAAATTTTGGACAAGTGATTTTACCCCTCTGACTTTGTTTTCTTATTCTGTAAAATAGAGTTATAAATATCCCCATCTAATATGAGTGTTTTGAAGAGGTAAGTAGTGTATACAACAGTGATCAGCACAGTTTTTGACATATAGGTTAAATAAATGGTGCCAAAATTTGGAGCCAGATAAACTTCAGCTTAATAGTGAACATCTTTTTTAAAATAGTTGCTAAATTAAATCCACATTTATAATGATGCAGTGCACTCCAAAATTAAACTCCAAGTAGCCTCGTGCCTGAGGCCACTTTTTTCTTGGTGAGTTTCTTGAATAGTCTGAAAACAAAATGGATTATAAGCAATCTAGTTTCTAAACATTTTACTCATCAGATGAATTCATTTTCTGACTTGCAAATAAATACAGTTGTTAAAGTACTTACCACTGGCCAGTTTATTTTATACAGTTTCATTGTGTTTTTAAACAGATACCCCTCATTTGTCTGCATTATAGAAGTTTCCCAGGCTAGCAAAGTACTGCAGCAGTAGAACAGAGATGGATGTGAGTAGGATCTAAGACAACCCTATTAATTATCAAGTAGCCCCAGAGTGATTGGTTGTTGAAAAAGCTGAATTCTTCTGCATTTCTGATAAACAGTTAGAAATTTACTCTAAAGGAAAGCTTTGGTGGACCTTCAGTGACACTTGTGTTCATGGTAAGGGAACACTGAAGTAAAAAGTTATATGAACCATGTGATCACAGGCCAAAGTAAACCTAAGATATGTTGGAAATTTACAAAATAGAAGTGACATGGCTGAAAGGCACCTCAGCAAATGTGTACCAATGACTGAATGAATGCATGCCTTTTGTATCATGATGATACATAGTTACCCTGGAACTTAAATGACATTTCATAAGAATTTAGGAGAATAAAAATGAATTATTTGAGTAATGTATTAGAATTGAAAGTGTGGTCTATAAAAGGCCAGATATTTCTGAAATTAATTTAGCATGTACACAAAATTAAAATCATTTAAAAATAATAAGCTATCATTTACCTTTTTTTACTGTTGCTATAGAGTGAATGTTTGTCTTCCTCCAAAATTTACATGTTGAAATCCTAACACACAATGTGATAGTATGAGAAGTTGGACCCTTTGGGAGGTGCATTGGGAGGCTCTGTCCTCATGAATAGGATTATTGTCTTCATAAAGAGACCCCAGAGAACTACCTCAATCCAACAGCAAGTGAAGACATAGTAAAAAGACACACAGAAAGTGAGTTCTCACCAGATACTGAATCTGCTGTCACCTTGATCTTGGACTTCCCAGCTCCAAAACTGTGAGAAATAAATTTATGTTGTGTATAAGCCAACCAATACATATTATTTTTCTTATAGCAGCCCAAACGGACTAAGGCCAATGTTGACACTGCATTGAGGTGCAAAAGCACCAGTGGGTAAAACTGCTAACTCTGTTGCATAAATCAAGACAATTGCTTTCAACTGTATTATTACTCATTGTACTATGCATACCATACATTCATAGGAAAACAATAAGGCCAGCTTTACTCAGGTATGCCCTTGATGGAGTAGCAAAAATGATTAGATTTATTGCATATTGGCTGTTGAGTATATATTCTTTTAGTATTCTGTTCAACAAAATGAGAAATATGCATAAAACATTTCTGCTACATACCTGGAATGCAGTTGTTTCAGAAAACACTTAAGTTGTTTCAGTCATGAATTCAACTAGTGCCTTTTTTTGGGAGGGGTTCAACTGACATTATAAGGCAAAATTAAAGAAGAGTTGAATAAAAACATTGTACTTCAGTTGGCAAATTTGTGTTCCTCTCAAAAGTATATGGATTAGGGATTCTTTTTGAGATTCAGTGTGGTAAGTTATTTCTCCATAAGTAGTTATTTTTACATTATGTGTCTCCTTTATATAGTATCTTTCTGTGTTTGGCTTCTGTCATTACCGCAACTGATTTTTAAAAATTTTTTTTTACATGAATAACTTCTTTAGTGGTGATTTCTCAGATTTTGGTGCACCCATCTCCCGAGCAGTGTACACTGTACCCAATGTATAGTCTTTTACCCCTCACTCCACTCCCACCCTTTCCCCTGAGTCCCCAAAGTCCATTGTATTATTTTTATGCCTTTGCACTCTCATAACTTAGCTCTCACTTATGAGTGAGAATATATGATGTTTAGTTTTTATTCTTGAGTTACTTTACTTAGAACAATGGTCTTCAGTTCCATCCAGGTTGCTGTGAATGCCATTATTTCGTTCCTTTTTATGGCTGAGTAGTATTCTATGGTATATACGTATATACCACATTTTCTTTACCCACTCGTTGAATGATGGGCATTTGAACAAGTTCCATATTTTTGCAAATGCAAATTGTGCTGCTATAAGCATGTGTGTGCAAGGTTTTCTTTTTTGTTGTTTGTATAACTTCTTTTCTTCTCAGTAGAAACCCCGTAGTGGGATTGCTGGATCAAATGGTAGATCTATTTTAGTTCTTTAAGGAATATGCACACTGCTTTCCATAGTGATTGTATTAGTTTACATTTCCACCGTCAATATAAAAGTGTTTCTTTTCTCACCACATCCACACCAACATCAATTTTTTTTTAAATTATTGTCATTCTTGAAGGAAAAGGGTGGTATTGCATTGAGGTTTTGATGTGCATTTCTTTCATAATTAGTGTTGTTAAGCATTTAAAAAATGTGTTTGTTGGTTGTTTATATATCTTCTTCTGAGAATTGTCTATTCATATCATTTGCCCACTTTTTGATGATAGGATTATTTGCTTTTTTCTTGCTGATTTGTTTGAGGTTTTTGTAGATTCGATATTAGCCCTTTGTCAGAAGTATAGATTTTGAAGATTTTCTCCTACTTTTTGGGTTGTCTGTTTACTCTGCTGATTACTTCTTTTGTTGTGCAGAAGTTATAAATTTAATTAAGTCCCATAAATTTATCTTTGTTCTTATTGCATTTGCTTTTGGGTTCTTGGTGAAGAAATCTTTGCCTAAGACATGCCTAGAAGGGTTTTTCCAATGTTATCTTCTAGAATTTTGTGGTTTCAGCTCTCAGATTTAAGTCTTTGATACATCTTGAGTTTATTTTTGTATGTGGTGAGAGATGAGATTCCAGTTTTATTCTTCTACATGTGGCTTGCAATTATCTCAGGACCATTTGTTGAACAGGGTGTCTTTTCCCCACGTTATGTTTTTGTATAGTTTGTCGAAGATAAGTTGGCTGTGAGTATTTGGCTTTATTTCTGGGTTCTCTGTTTTGTTCCATTGTTCTAAATGCCTACTTTTTTACCAGTACCATGCTGCTTTGGTGGCTATGAATTTATAGTATAGTTTGAAATCAGGTAATGCGGCGCCTCTGGATTTATTCTTTTTGCTTGGCCTTACTTTTGCTATGTGGGCTCTTTTCTCATTCCATATGAATTTTAGGATTGTCTTTTCCAGTTCTGTGAAGAATAATGATGGTATTTTGATGGAAATTGCATTGAATTTATAAATTGCTTTTGGTAGTATGATCATATGTACAACAGTGTTTCTACCTATCCATGAGTATGGGATGTGTTTCCATTTGTTTGTGTCATCTATGATTTATTTCAACAGTGTTTTGTAGTTTTCCTTGTAGAAGTCTTTCACCACCTTGGTAGGTGTATTCCTAAGTATTTATTTTATTTGCAGCTATTGCTGAAGGGGTTGAGTTCTTGATTTGATTCTCAGCTTGGTCACTGTTGGTGTATAGCAGAGCTACTGATTTATGTACATTTGCTCTGTATCCTGAAACTTTGCTGAATTCATTTACCAGTTCTAGGAGCTTTTTAGATGAGTCTTTAAGGTTTTCTAGGTATGCCATCATGTCATCAGCAAACAGTGACAGTTTGACTTTCTCTTTACTGAATTGGATGCCCTTTATTTTTTCCTTTTGTCTGATTGCTCTGGCTAGGACTTCCTCAGTTGAATAGGCATGGTGAAAGTGGGCATTATTGCCTTATTCCAGTTCTCAGGGGAGAATGCTTTCAACTTTTCCCCATTCAGTATAATGTTGACTGTGGGGTTGTGAAAGTTGGCTTTTATTACCTTAAAGTATACTCCTCCTATGCCAATTTTGCTGAGGGTTTTACTCATAAAGCTATGCTGGATTTTGTCAAATGTTTTTTCTGCATCTATGGAGATAATAATGTGATTTTTGTTCTTACTTCTGTTTATGTGGTGTATCACATTTATTGACTTGCTTGTGTTAAACAATCCATGCATTCCTGGTATGAAACCCACCTGATCATGGTGGATTTTTTTTTTTTTTTGATATGCTCTTGGATTCGGTTAGCTAGCATTTGTTGAGAATTTTTGCATCTATGTTTATCAGAGATATTTGTCTGTAGTTTTCTGTTTTTCTGTGTCCCTTCCTGGTTTTGGTATTAGGGTTAGCCTCATCTAATGATTTAGGGAGGATTTCCTCTTTCTTTATACTGTGGAATCATGTCAATAGAATTGGTACCAATTTTTCTTTGAATGTCTGATAGAATCTAGCTGTGAATCCATCTGGTCCTGGACTGTTTTGTTGATGAATTTTTAAATACCATTTCAATCTTGCTGCTTGTTATTGGTCTATTCAGAGTTTCTATTTATTCCTGGCTTTACCTAGAAGGATTGTATATTTCCAGGAATTTTTCCATTTCCTCTAGGTTTTCTAGTTTATGTGCATGAAGGTGTTCATAGTAGTCTTGAATCATCTTTTATATTTCTGTGGTATTGGTTGTAATAATTTTCATTTCATTTCTAATTGAGCTTATTTGGATCTTCTGTCTTATTTTCTTGGTTTATTTCACTAATAGTCTATCAATTTTACTTGTCTTTTCAAAGAACCAGCTTTTTGTTTTATTCGTCTTTCACACTTTTTTGTTTTAATTTCATTTAGTTCTGCTCTAATCTTGGTTATTTGTTTTCTTCTGCTGGATTTAGGTTTGGTTTGTTCCTGTTTTTCTAGCTCTTTGAGATGTGACCTTACATTGTCAATTGTGCTTTTTTAAAACTTTTTGATGTAGATATTTAATGCTATGAACTTTTCCCTTAGCACTGCTTTTGCTGTATCCCAGAGATTTTGATAGTTTGTGTAACTACTATCATTCAGTTTGAAGAATTTTTAAATTTCCGTCATGATATTATTGTTGATTTTATTGTCAGGAGAAGGTTATTTAATTTTCATGTATGTGCATGGTTTTGTGCATTCCTTTTGGAGTTGATTTCCAATTTTATTCCACTGTGGTCTGAGAGAGTACTTACTGCAATTTTGATTTTTTAAAATTTGTTGAGACTTGTTTTGTGGCTTATCATATAGTCTATCTTGGAAAATGTTTCTTGTGCTGATGAATAGAATGTATATTCTGCAGTTGTTGCGTAGAATGCTTTGTAAATATCTGTTAAGTACGTTTGTTTAAGGATATAGTAAAAAGTCCATTGTTTCTTTGTTGACTTTCTTTCTTGATTACCTATCTAGTGCTTTAAGGGGATTGTTGAATTCCCCCACTATTATTGTTTTGCTTTCTACCTCATTTCTTAGGTCTTGTAGTAACTGTTTTATAAATTTGAAAGCTTCAGTTTTAGGTGCATATATATTTAGGATTGTGATATTTTCCTTTTGGACTAGTCCTTTTATTATTTTACAATGTTCATCTTCGTCTTTTTAAATAGCTGTTACTTTAAATTTTGTATGATATAAGTATAGCTACTTCTGCTCACTTTTGGTGTCCATTTGCATGGAACATGTTTTTTCACCCCTTTCCTTTAAGTTTATGTGAGTCCTTATGTGTCAGATGAGTCTCTTGAAGACAGCAGATACTTTTTTGGTGAATTCTTATCTATTTTTTCATTCTGTATATTTTTAAGTGGAGCATTTAGGCCACTTACATTCAATATTAGTATTGAGATGTGAGGCATTATTCTATTCAGGCTGCTGTTTGTTTCCTGTATACCTTGTTTTTTTAATTGTGTTTTTGTTTTATATACCCTGTGAGAATTATGCTCTGAGGAAATTAAATTTTGATATATTTTGAGAATTTGTTATAAGATTTATAGCTTTTCTTCAGCAGTTATTGTAGTGATGGCTTGGTAGTGGTGAACTCTCTCAGCAATTGTTTGCCTGAAAAAGACTGTATCTTTCCTTCACTTAAAAGCTTAGTTTAAATGGATACAAAATTTGGGGCTGATCATTGTTTTGCCTGAGGAGGCTAAAGACAGGACCTCAATCTCTTCTAGCTTGTAGAGTTTCTGCTGAGAAATTTGCTGTTAATCTGACAGGTTTTTCTTTATAGGTTACATGACGCTTTTGCCTCATAGCTCATAAGATTCTTTCCTTCATCTTGACTTTAAATAACCTGATGACTGTGCACCGAGACAATGATCTTTTTGTGATGATTTTCCAGATGTCTTTTGAGCTTCTTGTATTTGGATATCTAGATGTGTAGCAAGGCTGGGGAAGTTTTCCTCGATTATTCCTTCAAATATGTTTTCCAAACTTTTTGATTTCTCTTATTCCTCGAGAACACCAATTATTCTTAGGTTATTTAACATAAGTCCAAACTTTTTAGAGGCTTTGCTCATTTTTTAATTTTTTTTGTGTTTGTTGGATTGGGTTACTTCAAAAGCCTTGTCTTCAAGCTCTGAAGTTCTTTTCTCTACTTGTTTGATTTGATTGCTGAGACTATCCAGTGCATTTTCTATTTACCTGCGTCCTTTATTTCAAGTTGTGATTGCTTTTTATTTATGCTATTTCACTGGATATTTTTTCATTCGCATCTCGTATCATTTTTTTTTTATTTAAGTCGGACATCACCTTTTTCTGGCGCCTCCTTTATTAGCTTAATAATTAACCTTCTGAATTTTCTTTCTGGCAACTCAGATTTAACCGAGGTTTGGATCCATTGCTGGCGAGCTACTGTGATTTTTGCGGGGTGATAAGAAACTTGTTTTGTTATGTTACCAGATTATTTTTTCTGGTTCCTTTTCATTTGGGTAGACTATGTAAGAAGGAAAATCTGGGACTTAATGGCTGCTCTTCAGATTCTTTTGTTACATGGGGTGCTCCCTTGATTTGTTGCTCTCCCCCTTTCTTCAGGTATGAGGCTTCCTGAGAGCCATATGGCAGTGACTGTTATTTCTCTTATGGATCTAGCCACCCAGCAGAGCTACCATTCTCTCGGCTATTACTTGGGAATGTCTGCTAAAAGTCCTTTGTTGTGATTTGTCTTCAGGTTTCTCAGCCATGGATACCAGCACATGCTTTTTTGGAGTTAGGAGGTGAGTTACATCCACTCTGTGAGGGTCCTTGGTTGTATTTTTAAGTGTGCCGGTTTTGTGTTGGTTGGCGTCCAGCCAGGAGGTTGTGCTTTCAAGAGGCATCAGCTGCAGTAGTATAGAGGGGATATAAGCTTTCCCTAGGGTCAAGTGGTGGGGGGACCCATAGAGCTCCCCAGAGATTCTGTTTTCTGTCTTTGGCTACCAAGGCAGGTAGAGAAAGACCATCAGGTGGGGGCAAGGTTAGGCGTGTCTGAGCTCTGACTCTCCTTTTGTGGGGCTTGCTGAGGCTGCTGTGGGGGATAAGAGTGTGGTTTCCAGGCCAATGGAGTTGTGTTCCCAGGACAATTATGGCTGCCTCTGATGTTTCACACAGATCTTAAGGGAAATTGGGGAAAGCCTGCAGCCACAGGCCTCATTCAGCTCCCATTCAGCCCGCAGCTCAAAAGACTGGTCTCACTTCCCCCATCTCCCCCAATAGCACCAAGTTTATTTCTAGGCAGCTGGTGAGCAGGGCTGAGAACTTGTCCCAGGCTACAAGCCTCTTAGCTGAGAAAGGAAGCCAAATCAGTTTCTTGGCTGTCCCACAGAGACTGTAGCAGCAATCCATCTCCTTCAAGGGGTCTGTGAGTTCTCTTGGCTTTTCTCATATGTTCCTGTGGTAATTCTTGGAGCAAAAGTTCCTGATGTGGGTCTCCATAGGCTGCTCTGTCTGAGAAGGAACTTCAAGTTAGTCCTGTCTCCTGTCTGCCATTTTTGGGGGATTAACCTAGTGACTGTTTTATGGAACACATCTTTACTTCAAAAAGGGCTTACAGAAAAAATGGTTATTCATGTTGGGATATTAGGAAGATTTTTTTTCAAAAAACTACAAAAGGACTGTCAATTCAAGTATGTCAACTAACACTATTTGTTGCCGATGATAAAATTTGAGCTTTCAAATGAAACTTAGAACTTTGTAAAACTTGCATTTACCACCATGGATCTGACAGGTTTCCAATATTTAATTATTTTCTTATAATATTTATGGAAATAGTATCAAATGTGATGCATTTTTTGATACTGTATAATAAAATATGTTCACATTTGGAGGTTCTGCATCAATGAACGAATGTTTTTGAAATGAACAATATAATATGTTGTACAGCCATGCATGGAGAAAAGTTCAATTTAAACTACAAGATTGATCTATGCATTTTAATATAATAAGAAATATCGTCGATATATTTTCAGTGTCCATATTGCAACTTACGTTTATGAAACTAACACTTGCTCAGTTTTGATTTAGTGTCAAAGACTATCCACAACTATCTGTAATATCTTCTTAAAATACTTTTACTGTTTCAACAATGTATCTATGTAAGGCTGAATTTTTTGTGTACATCAAATGAAACAATGTTTAACCACTGACAGTATAGAAGCAGATATTAGAACTAATTTTTTTCTATGAAACCACACATTGAGATTGCAAAAATGTAAAACAATGTTACTCTTCTTACTGCAAATTTTATTTTGTAAATGTAGTAGTACATTTTTATTAAAATAAATTATTTAGCTAACATAGATAATATTTTATGTTTATTTTTATTAACATTGTTATTTATAGTTATTATTTTTGTGGTACTTCAGAATAAATAAATACGCTTCCACTTTTAATTTTTAATATAGAACATATTCGTAGATGAAATCTATATTTTAAAAAAACTCTTTATGCTTATCAATACTTTTTAAGATTGTAAAGGTGGCTTTGACCCAAAAGTTGAAGAATGACTGGATTAACAAGTTTCCTCCAAAAGTGAAATAAAATTTGGATGCATCTGAGTTTACTTGTAAATGACTAAATTAACTTTTTTTTTCTACTGAACAAAATGGGAGTTTCAGGTAGAAATTAAGTTCAGTTACAGAAAAGCAGTTATATTTTTGCATCTCTGTATTTGTAATTTTAAGTTTTTATATTAACTGCATTTGTCTTTTTGTCCCCTACTGCCTGATTTGGAGGGTAATCTAGTCTCAGTAATATTTTATTGGAATTGTTCAACTATCTCAAGCCCCAATTTTTACCCCTTTCTGGTATTTTCAAGATTTTTGGTGACCTCATATAGTTCAGACATTTAGGAAAATGTCTTTGAGATTTAGCCCATTCCATTTGGTGCTAGGATTCTCATGTACAAGCCCAAATTTCCTATTAAAATATGTGCAGCCCTGTATTATATAGGATCCATATATTTCATGTGCATATTAGCTACCAGGGCTTTTTACACAGTGTCTAAGGCTCTTGAAAATTTCAACTCTTAAACATCCATGAGCTACTTTGATAGGAATTCTTATATCTGCTAGAATCCTGAATAATTTCAGGGCATGGAGCTTAAATAATTTTTCAGATGCTTACTGAGTCTTAAGAAACTTAATTCTAGATTCTCACTTGATACCTGTGATGATGATATGGTTTGAATTTTTGTCCCCCACCCAAATCTCATGTCAAGTTGTAATCCCCAATGTTGGGAGGTGATTGAATAATGAAGACGGATTTCCCCCTTGCTCTTGTCTTGATAGTGAGTTATCATGAAATTTGGTTGTTTAAAAGTGGGTAGCACCTCCCTCTTTGCTCTCTCTTTCTCCTTCTCCAGCCACGTAAAACATGCCTGCTTTCCCTTCAACTTCTGTCATGAATGTAAGATTCCGTAGCCATGCCTCCTGTACAGCCTGCAGATATGAGTCAATTAAATCTCTTTTCTTTATAAATTACCCAGTCCCAGGTAGTTCTTTATAGCAATGCAAAAACAAACTAATACAGATGGTTAATTCTGTAAGTCAACTTGCTTAGGTTAAAATACCCAGTGATTCCATCACACAGTAATCTAGATGCTGCTGTGAAAGTATTTCATAGATGTGGTTTATATTTATAATCAGTTGACAGTTTATTCTTCATAATATATGTGGACATTATCTAATAAGTTGAAATGTTTTAAAAGAAAACACTGAGATATCCTTGAAGAAGAAAAAAAGGTCTCGACTGCAGCATCAAATTCTGCCAGAGATAATTCTGCCAGACTGCCCTATTAATGTGCCAGATTCCTGTAATTGCATGAGCTAATTCCTTGAAATAAATTGTGTGTGTGTGTGTGTGTGTGTGTGTGTGTGTGTGTATCAAATTTCTTTCTTGTTTTATTTTTTTGGAGAACCCTGACTAATACATATTTTGGTATTGAGAGTGTGGTGTGCTACTATCCCAGTCCATTTCCTGAAAAACGAAGAGCTGCAGGGTTTCAGTGGAGCTTAGAATAAGAGAAGGCTCTGCATCAGGTTCAGGCTATAATGAAAGCTGATATGTTACTTGGGACATATGATTCAGCAGATCCAATGGTGCTTGAGATATCACTGTCAGATAGGGATGCTGTTTGGAGCATTTTGGAGGCCTGTGTAGGTGAATTACAGTGCAGATCCTTAGAACTGTGAAGCAAATTGCTGCCCTTGTCTGTGTATAACTATTCTGTTTTTTGGAAATGGTTTTGGCTTCCTACAGAACACTTAGTCATGGTCTATCAAGTTACCATATGACCTAAACTTCCTGGTTTGCAGATGGTTCTGTATGATATGCAGCACAATCAGAAAGTGAAGAGCTACAGCACTTTAGTGCCTTTCTGAGACTTCCTCAAAGGACAGTCATAAAGAAACATCTCCCAATGGGCATAATTTCAAACAGTGCACTTCGTTATTTATTTTTTGGCAAAAAGAAATGTTCAGAGGTATGAGCATATACCAGTTCATGCGATGTGGCCAGTGGTTTTGCCATATAATCAGGGATTTGGCAAGAACCAGATTGGAAAGTTGGTAACTAGGAGGTCTGAGGAAGAGGTATGTGGAGAGTCCTCTCTGTATGAGCATAAAAGTAAAGATATTTGTATGCTATGTGAATGCTCACCAAAGGGTGACCACAACTGAGAAGAATTTAAATATATATATGCATTGGCTCAACAACACAATCTTCAACTTACCAAGGCTGACCTGGTTATAGCCATGACTGAGTGCCCAATATGCCAGCAGCAGAGGCCAATACTGAGTCCCAGATATTGCACCATTCCCCACAATGAACAGCAAGCTACCTCGTGGCAGGTGGATTACATTGGCTTACTTTCACTATGAAAGGAGAAATACTCTGCTCTTACCAAAGTAGACACTTTGGAAATTGATTTGTCTATTCTTCATGCAATTGTTCGGTCAAACATACTATCTGTGGACTTACAAAATGCCTTATCCACTGTCATGGTATCACACATGACACTGTTTCTTATCAAGGAACTCACTTCACTGCAAATGAAGTGCAGCAATGGTCCCATCTTTATGGGATTCACTGGTGGTACCACGTTTCCAATCATTCTGAAGTAGCTGGCTTGGTAGAATGATAAAATGGTCTTTTCAATACTCATTTATAACCCAGTTAGGTGCTTATAGGGCTTGGGCAATGTTTTTGAGTAGGTTGAACATGTTCTAAATCAGTGCCCAATAAATGGAGTTGTCACTTTCATATCCAGCATTTGCAAGTTACGAGGCAAGTGAATTGGAGTGGCGCTACTCAGTATTACCTCTAATGATCCACTAGCAAAATTTCTGCTTCCTGTTCCTGTGGTTTCCTATATATACGTGTGTGTGTGTGTGTGTGTGTGCCTGTGTGATCTTTGTTTTTTTGTTTATCCTCTTATTCTATAAGATGTATTAATAATAATAATCTTTATATCACGCCTACCTGTACTTGTGCTACATCAGCTAAAAATGAACGTTGAATAAGATACAAAGCCTCATAATATACTGTACAACACGTACAGCATACAATTAAAAATCACTCATTATACCAATAACTAGTAAAATCACAAGATGAAGGTGAAAATACCACACTAAGCTTTTTCAGCTGTCCCAGTTATCTGACAAAGGTATTAAAACAGTCACAATAATAAAATTTTAGTAAGAAATTACAAATTTACCAGACAAATTAAAAGTACAAAATTGCAATAAAATTTCTACTAAAAGTAGAACTACCATATGACCCAGCAATGTAACTACTGGGTATATACTAAAAAGAAAGGTAATATTGCAAACAAAGTGTTATCTGAACTCTTACATTTGTTGCAGCATTGTTTACAATAGCCCAGATTTTGAAGCAATTTAAGTGTCCATCAACAGAGAAATGGATAAAAAACGTGGCACATATATGCAATGGAGTACTATTTAGTCACAAAGAAGAATGAAATGCTGTCATTTGCAACAACATAGATGGAACTGGATATTATTACGCAGAGTGAAATAAGCCAGACACAGAAATACAAACATTACATGTTCTCGCTTATTTGTGGGATCCAAAATTCAAAACAAACTCATGGACATAGAGAGTAGAAGAATGGTTATTAGAGGCTTGAAAGGGTAATGGGGTGCTTATTTACCCCAAGGTGGTGGAGCTTATTTTTCCAGCTTCCAATCATATGATTTCTCTGATTAATAGATGATGATGGAAAGATAATTATGAGAATTCTGAATGTAAGCCTCAAAATGCCTAGAACTTTCTGCTTTCTCTCTAAGAGGACTGCAAATTTGTAAACAAGCCTGTTGCAGCCTTCTTGAGGGTGAGAAAGTTTGTAGTGAGAATAAACACATGGAGAGAGAGGCCTTGATATTTTGGCCATCACAACTAAGGTCGATATGGGTAAATAAGGCCATTTAGGACCAGCAAGGCTGTAGCTGACAGGCCAACTGACTGCATAGCTAATTGAACCCAGCCAGTGCCAACCATAGCAAAAATGACCAGCTTCAGCTGTGGCCTGCCAAAATATTCAACCTGCTGAATCAAGAAGAAATAAATGGTTACTGCTTAGTATCCTAATTTTGAGTGGTTTGTTATGCAAGAATAGAAAAGACAAGTGGAAGAATAGATTCATTGAAACGTAGCATGCTGATAACTGGAGTACAATGATTGTACCATATGAAATCTAAGAAGACACAACAAATAAGTCAGTATAAAAAAATTGATCTCAGAAAGCAGACAAAAATAATTAGGCGGGGGACCAGGGGTCAGACGTCTAGTCATTTGAGAGATCAATAATAACAAGTGAAAAGCTGTCTCAGAAATCGGTGTATTGGGCAAGTTATCAAAGCTACCATTCAAGAACAGAAAATAAGTCAGAGGCCCAATTATAGAAAATGAGAAATAATATTAGAGCCATAACATAGAAATCAAGGAAATGCCCAAATATGATAACAAGAAAATAAATTAGAAGAAAAATTGGGTGGATAGTACGTATCCTGGGTTACTGGATTAGAACTTCTTAGAGTTTACATAATTAATTTCTGTAGTCTGAAACAGGGTTGAGTATGGTGGAAAAAGGGTCTGGGAAGGAATAATGAATGATTGCCTTGAATAAAAGAAGAGGGGCGCTATGGGGAGCACGATATCAGAAACACTGTTAGAACAATACATTGCCAAAACATTTTTGACAATTTATTCAGAATAATTTTATATGTAGGCCAATCAGATGCACAATCATCAATATAGTGTAATGTGAAAAGTAGTATGTTCAAATAAACTTTCCATTCTTTTCTGGCCCAGTTTCTGATGTCTCAAGGCATACCTCTAAATTTTTCTATGTCAGGGAAAAGGTAAAAATGGAAACACGCACATACTTTAAAAGTAAAAATCAATCAAATTGTTAAATATGTTCAATATTCTTTCCTTGACAATATAAAAAAGCATGGGTAATGCTATACTTTTTCATGTGACTAAAATTTTAAACAATATAAAACATAACTGAATTAAATTATTGCAAATTTCTGTTTGATTTGTTAATGAATTGCCAATGTTTAAATGGGTACCAATGAATCAAATCATACATAATTCATAACTTACTACATATTTTTCTATAAAATTCTTATTTAGGCATTATTAACATAATTAATCATACATTCACATAGTTTATGTTCTTTTGAAATTAATGACTTCAAGAATTAAAAATATATAATAATATTCAAATTATGCAAAGTGCAATATAAAATGTAAATAAGCCTATTTATGTGTATAAAAATTACATTTTTGTGGTCTTAAAAACTTTACTTCTAAGTTATTCAAAAGTATTAAAATTAAAAAAATTATAATGAAGAAATATATATTTTAAGACAAAAGCATTAAAACATATAAAAAATAACGTAATACACCACATTAACGTTTGTAAGAATAGAGAAAAAAAGGCATCCAAATCAGAGAGAAAAAAGTTAAATTTACTCTGTTTGCAGAGCACATGAACTTATGTATAGAAATTGTTAAAGACTCCATAAAAATATTAGAACAAATAGAAAAATTTAGCTAAGTTTCAGATACAAATCCAGCATGCAAATATCAGTTGCAATTCTATACCGTGACAATTATCAATCTAAAAAAAATTAAATATGCAATATCATTTACAAAACACCAAAAAGAATACAACACTTAGGAATATATTGAACCAAGGACATGAGAAACTTGTACACTGAAAAATCACAAAACACTGATGAAAATGTAAAGAAGATGCAAACGATGGCTCTACATCCTGTGTTCGTGGACAAGAAGAACTAATACAGGCATACAAAAGAGATATTGCCAGTTGAATAGTACAATACCTCAAAAATAGCTTCATCGTTAAAAAGATAAAGTGATGCAACAACAACGCAAGCATAGATTGAGAGTTTCCAGGAATCTACCTAAGCTGCCTGTCCATAGAAATGCTTGCTATAAAGTGACAAATATTTAACACAAAGTCAGTTGTACTAGGTTGCAGACGGACCTCAATGAAGTGTACATTGCAATAATAAAAGTCACAAATTTTTTTTGGTTACCCAGTGAATGTAAAAGTTATGTTTACACTACACTGTAGCCTACTAAGTGTGCAACAGCATTATGTCTAAAAAAGCAATGTCCATACCTTATTTTAAAAATATATTATTGCTAAATATGCTAATGATGATTTCAGCCTTCAGCATGCTGTAATCTGCTTGTTGGTAGAGGGTCTTGCCTCAATGTTGATGGCTGCTGACTGGCTGACAAAGAAGGCAGTTAGTGAAGGTTGGGGTTGCTGTGGCAATTTCTTAAAATAGGAAAACAATAAAGTTTGTCACATCAATTGGCTTGACATTTCACAAAACATTTCTTTGTAGCATGTGGTGCTATTTGATAGCATTTTACACACGGTAGAACTTATTTCAAAATTAGAGTCAATCCTCTGAAACCCTGCCACTGCTTTATCAACTAAGTTGATGTGATGTTCTAAATTTGTTGTTATTTCCACAATATTCCCAACGTCTCCACCAGGACTACTCCTGAGATTCCATCTCAGGAAACCAATTCATTTGCTCATCCGTAAGAAGCAGCTCCTCATCCATTGGCATTTTATTATGACACTGCAGCAATTCATTCACATCTTCAGTCTCCACTTCTCATTCTAGCTCTCTTGCTGTTTCCAACTTGCTGTTTCCACAACATGTGCAGTGACTTTCTCCACTGAGATCTTGAACCCCTTAAAGACACCGAAGTGGATTGAAATCATCTTCTTCCAAATTTCTGTTAATGTTTCTCCTATGAGTCATAAATATTCTTAATGCTATCTAAAGTGGTGAATCATTTCCAGAAAGTTTTCAATTTACTTTGCCCAGATGCATCAGAGAAATCACTATCTATGGCAACTATAGCCTTACAAAATGTATTTATTAAATATTAAGGCTTGAAATTTGAGATCGCGCCTCGATTCATTCCATGGGTTGCAGAATGCGTGTTGTGTTAGCAGGCATGAAAAAAAAACAAATTTTTTGTACATCTCCATCAGAGCTTATGGGGACTAGGTGCACTATCCATGAGCAGCAATATTTTGAAAGTTATCTTTTTTTCTTAACAGTAGCTCTCAACAGTGAGCTTAAAATAGTCAGCAACCCATGCTGTAAATAGATGTGCTATCATCTAAGCTTTGTTGTTCCAGTTATTGGCCATAGTCAGAGTGGATTTATCATAATTACTAAGGGCCCTAGGATTTTCAGAATGGCAAATGAGTACTGGCTTCAACCTAAGGTTCACTGTGATGGTTAATACTGAGTGTTAACTTGATTGAATTGAAGGATGTAGAGTATTTATCCTGGGTATGTCTGTGTGGGTGTTGCCTAAAAGAGATTAACATTTGAGTCAGTGGCCTGGAGAAGGCAGATCCACCCTTAATCTAGTGGGCACAATCTAATCAACTTCTAGAGAATATAAAGCAGGCAGAAAAACGTCAAAAGGTGAGATGGGCCTAGCCTCCCAGCCTGCATCTTTCTCCTATACTGGAGGCTTCCTGCCCTCGAACACTGGATTCCAAGTTCTTCAGTTTTGGGACTCGGATTGGCTCTCCTTGCTCCTCAGCTTGCAGACAACCTATTGTGGGACCTTGTGATCATGTAAGTTAATACTTAATTAGAATTAGAAGAATTCTTAGCTAGAATTAGAAGTGGAGCCTAAAGATGTGACTGAATTGCTGCAGTGTCATAATAAAACACCTGTGGATGAGGGAGGAGGAGTTACTTCTTTTTATTTCTAAAAAAAAGCTAATCCAAGCATATATATATATAT
The DNA here is from genome assembly GCF_000001405.40 of Homo sapiens. Taxonomy (NCBI): domain Eukaryota; kingdom Metazoa; phylum Chordata; class Mammalia; order Primates; family Hominidae; genus Homo; species Homo sapiens. The sequence goes on from NC_000023.11 coordinate 81,896,785, forward strand.
ATATATAATATATATGCTAATCCAAGCATATATATATGCTAATCCATATATATATGCTAATCCATATATATATATATATATATATATATATATATGTATATCTATCTCCTATTAGTTCTGTCCCTCTAAGAGAACCTTGACTAATACAGTTGCCAACTGCTACAACCCCTAGCAAGAGAGTCTGCCTGGTTTTTTTGGAGTTTTGAAGCTAGGCATTGACTTCTCTCTAGCTATGGAAGATATATATGGCATCTTCTTGCAATATAAGGTGATTTTATGTACACTTAAAGTCTGTTGTTTAATGTAGTCACCTTCACCAATTATCTTAGCTAGATCCTCTGGATAACTTGCTGCAGCTTTTGTACATCAGCACTTGCTAATTCACAATGTACTTTTATGTTACCAAGATGGCTTGGTTCTACATGAACAAATCTCTTCTAGCTTCATACTTTTCTTCTGCAGATTCCTACTCCTTCCTCCTTCATAGAACTAAAAAGAGTTAGGACCTTGCTCTGGATTAGGTTTTGGCTCAAGGAAAGGTGTTAGTTGATATGATCTATCCAAACCACTGAAACGTTCTTATCAGTGACAGGCTGTTTTGCTTTCTTGGCATTCATGTGTTCACTGCAGTAGCATTTTTACTTTTCTTGAAGAAATTTTCCTTTGTATTCACAGCTTGGCTAATAGTTTGGCACAAAAGGCCTAGCCTCCAGCTGATCTTGGCTTTTGACCTGTTTTCCTTTCTAAGGTTAATCATTTCTAGCATTTGATTTAAAGTGAAAAATGTGTGGCTTTTCTTTTTTTTTTTTCACTTGAACACGTAGAGTTCCTTGAAGGGCTATGAGTTGGCCTAAGTTCAACGTTATTTTTTCTAAGAGAATAGTGAGGACTAGGGATCAGGAAAGAGATAAGGAAAGGGCTGGTTGAAGGAATAGTCAGAACATGTACATTTATAGATTAAGTTTACTGTCTTTTGTTGATGTGGGTTGTGGCAATTACAATAATAACATCAAAGGACACTCATCACCATTCCAGATATAATCGTAATGAAAGTGTTTGAAATATTAAAATAATTAGCTAAGTGTGACACAGATACACAAAGTAAGCACATGCAGTTGGAAAAATGGTGCCTATAGGCTTGCTTAACTGAGGGCTGCCACAAGTCTTCAATTTGTAAAAAATGCAATATAAGTGAAACACCATAAAAGAAAGTATGCCTGTATTGCTAAAACGTCCACACTACTCAAAGTGATCTACAGATTCCATACAGTCTCAGTCAAAATTCCCAGTGGAATTTTTTACAGAAGTCGAAATAATGCATATACAATTGCTATGGAACTACCAAAGACTTAAAATAGCCGAATTGTTCTTGAGAAAGAAGAGCAAAGCTTGAGGCATCATTCTTCCTTGTTTAAATATACATTAAGAAGCAAGTTGTAGTAATAAAAACAGTATCATACTGGTATACAAATAGAGATATAGACCAATAGAACAGAATAGAGAGCCAAAAAATAGACCCTTGCATATACACTTCATTGATCTTCAACAAAGGTGCCAAGAATACCTAATGGGGAAAGGATAGTATATCAGCAAATGGTGCCAAGGAAACAGAATATCGGCATGCAACGAATAAAATAGGACCCTTATCTTGCACTATACACAGGAATCAATTCAAAAATGATTAAATATGTAAATGTACAACCTGAATTAATAAAACTCCTGGAAGAAAACATAGGGAGAACGCTTTATGACATTAATCTAGGCAAAGGTTTACTGAACATGACAGCAAACACACAGGTGTTATATATATTATATAAATATAATATATTTATATTATCTGAAATGAGATAGATAGGGTTTTGACAGAGTGGGAAAGGTTAATGGAGAGAAAATCCTGAAACTCAAAGCTGTGGAACATGCAGATGGGGTAAAGTTACATAACAAACACACAAAGTATTCTTGTTTTAAATGTCTATTAATACATTAATAAAGTGAAAGTCAATAAAAATAAGTTATGCCTGTATATAAATTTTAATATAAAGGACACTAAATGCTGACATTTTCCAGTATCATTATGTATTTCTCAACTGTCCTGACAAATGTCCCTATTAATCACCTTTTTATGAATGGCTTAGTAAAATTTAAATGTACATTCCTCAATATTTATGTTGTACATGCATGAAAATTAAGCCTTAATGAGTTCAAGAAACTTGGCCAAGGCCATACGTAGCTACTAAATAGCAGATTTGAAATGATTAGGGTGGTATAAACATCATTGCGAATTTTGCAATTACTTTTTTTTTTTTTTTTGAGATGGAGTTTCACTTTTCTTGCCCAGGCTGCAGTGCAGTGGCACAATCTTGGCTCACTGCAACCTCCGCTTCCTGGATTCAAGCGATTCTCCTACCTCAGCCTCCTGAGTAGCTGGAATTACAAGCACCCGCCACTAGGCCCAGATAAATTTTTGTATTTTAAGTAGAGATGGGGTTTCATGATGTTGACGAGGCTGGTCTTCAACTCCTGATCTCAGGTGATCCACCCACCTCGGCCTCCCAAAGTGCTGGGATTACAGGCGTGAGCCACCGCACTTGGCTTGCAATTACTTTTAATGGCAAAAAAAACACAATTACGTTGGCACCAACCTAATACAGTCCAGAGTTTTGACTTCTACCTTTGATCTTTGCAAGCCACAATTACTTTCTTGTTACTACTCATTCTCTACTTTCAGCTTGGAATATCACACTAGAACTTCACTTAATTCAGTTTTAGTTCAAATGCTTCCTTTGAAGTGCCTTCTGCAATCTCGATGCTCAGAAGTAAGTTTTGTCTTCTCTCTCCTATGATTGTTATACCTTTTAAATTGTGCCTTTTCAGATACAGGCACACACACAAATACACACACACACTGATATACACATACATCTGTGGACAACCTTGGTTCTTATGTCACACAAACTTTGGAGCAAGTCTCGTAACTTCTCTTCATTTTGCATGAGAATATCCTCTATACCAGGCCTTGGAAAGAAACAAATTATATTCCCTATATTTAAGGAGAATGGTGGTCAAGAACACGTACTTTGGAATCAGATTGCTTAGTTTAGAATTCTACATTTACTACATATTTAGTTGTGTGCTCTATAACTCAATATCCTCTCTAAAATGGAAAACATAATAGTACTTACTGCCTAAAGTTATTGTGAGGATTGCATGAGAAAATTTTGTTGTTGTTGTTGTTTTGTTTGTTTTTTGTTTTTTCTTTTTGAGACAGAGTTTTGCTCTTGTTGCCTAGGCTGGAGTGCAATGGTACCATCTCGGCTCACTACAACCTCTGCCTCCCGGGTTCAAGTGATTTTCCTGTCTCAGCCTCCTGAGTAGCTGGGATTACAGGCACATGCCAACATGCCCAGCTAATTTTTGTATTTTTAGTGGAGACGAGGTTTTGTCATATTGGTCAGGCTGGTCTTGAACTCCTGACTTCAGGTGATCCACCCGCCTCGGCCTCCCAAAGTGCTGGGATTACAGGCGTGAGCCACAGAACAATAGTTTTTAATTACTCACATCAGTACCCGTAACAGAGTAAACTCTCTCTCTCTCTCTCTCTCTCCCTTATCATATATATATATATATATATATATATATATAAAATTTTTAGTGTATATATATACATTTTACATGCATATTCAGAATATAATTAGTAAAGTATTCTGAATATACATTTAAAGTGTGTGTACATACATATATAAAGTGTAAAGCTAGACAAGCCAGAATAATACTTTGGGACTTGGTGAGAAGGTGGAGTAAATTAATAAGATGGAATGAGAAAAAATTCTGAAATGACAATTTAGTTAACCTAGTGTAGTGTCTCATCTTACTAACACAAAGTTATTATAGTGGGACTTCTATTCATTTATTTACCTACCTGATCCTGATATGTTAGCTTTGTGACTCATTCTCATCTATGCTAAAAACTTTTCCCAGATTGATTTTCTTGGTTTTGAAAGTTGGCTCAAGATCATTTGCCTCACTCTCAAAACCTCAATAATTTTCATTTGCTTTTGTTGCTATTTACCTTCAAAAACTCTGGGTAACTGCCCAACTTGATGAATCCCAGTTTCCATGGATAACACTCAGATTAGGCTTTTTTTTTTTTTTTTTTTTTTTTTTTTTACCAAACTGGACTTACCCAGTTTTGCACAAGGGAGACAAATTCCTTTTTGTCCGAATTTCTTCTCCTTCCACCATCATATATATAAACATGTACGTATGAACATGATGTATAATAGAAAATGAAATCAACTAGAAAAATTTAAAAGATAATGATTTATTTGTGCTTTAACGGTTTCACTGTGAAAGTAAACAAAGTGTTTCCATAAAACAAAGGAAAATAAAGAGTTCCATCTTGTAGAGAAACCTATTATTACTACTTCTTTTCTCTCCTTGCCATTATTATGTTAATCTTGCTATGCCAGTCCAGGGATGAAGTCAGCAAAACTCTCAGGGAGTCAAGTCTGTTTGGTGTAAAGATTTAGGGTCAGAGCAGAGAATCTTCACCATATTCAATTAATTTGAAAATTGGAGATCTCTGTTATATGTTATATCCAGAGATCTCTCAATAAATATTGAGACATCTAGCATTTGGAGGTTGTGTGTGTATGTATGTATATATGTATGTATGTATGTATGTATGTGTTTGTATATATATGTATGCATGTGTGTGTGTGTTTATATATATATTCAGTTAAACCCAGAACCCTAGCTACACCCTTCTGAATAAAAACTTGTTACTTATAATTAAAAAATTAATAGTAAAACAATAGATTGGCCCTCTATTGCCTCTTTTTTATTTAATATTTTAAAAATCATGGCAAAATAACAAAATTTATCATTTTTATTTTTATTATGTCTAAAGTGAAATGGCACTAAGTGCATTCACATTGCTGTGCAGTCATCACCACCATCCATCTTCGGAACTTTTTCTATCTTGCCAAACTGAAACTCCTCTAATCATTAAACAATAACTCTTCCTTCTCCCCTCCATCTAGATGCTCGCAATCTTCATTTAACTCTCTTATTTTATGAATTTGACTGCTTTGGGTACCTCATATAAGTGGAATCATACAATATGTAACCTTTTGTGACTGGCTTATCTCACTTAGCACAGTGTCTCAAGGTTTATCCACATTGTAACATGTCTCACAATTTCTTTCCTTTTAAGGCTAAATAGTATTACATTGTGTGTGTGTGTGTGTGTATGTGTCACACACACATACATATACACACATATATATTTATGGCACATTTTGTTAATCCATTTATTCATGATGAAAACTTGAACCTTTTCCACCACTATTGAAAAAATATTTCTCTAAACATTCATGTACCAATACCTGTTTGGGATCCTGCTTTTAATTACTTTGAGTATATGTCCAGAAGGAGAATTTTTGACTTATATGGTAATTTTACATTTAACTTTTTGAGGAACTGCCATACTATTTTCCATGGTGACTGCACCATTTTGCGTTACCATCAGCAATGTACAAGAGTCCAAGTTTTCATTGCCCTCACCAACACTTGTTATTTTCTGTTATTATTTTCATAATAGCAATCCTAATGAATATAAAGGGACCTCTTAATTGTTTTTATTTCAGTAGCATTATGGGTACAAGTGGTTTGTGGTTGCATGGATAAATTGTATAGTAGTGATGGCTATGATTTTAGTGCACCCATCACCTGAGAAGCGTGTATTTTACCCACTAGGTAGTTTTTAATCCCTAACCTCCCTTCCACCCTCCCCCTTCTGAGTCTCCAATGTCCTTTATACCACTTTGTGTGCCTTTGCACACCGATAGCTTACCTCCCACTTATACGTGACAACATACAGTATCTGGTTGTTGATTTCTGAGTTACTTCACTTAGAATAATGGCCTCCAGTTCCATCCAACTTGCTGCAAAATACATTAGGTCATTCTTTATGATGGCTGAGTAGTATTCCATATATATATATATATATATATGCCACATTTTATCTGCTCATCAGTTGATGGATATTAGGTTGATTCCTTACCTTTGCAATTGTGAATTGTGCAGTAATAAACATACACATCCAGGTTTTTTTTTAGGCATATATTCACTTCTTTTCCTTTGGGCAGATACCCAGTAGTAAGATTGATGAATTAAATGGTAAATCTACCTTTAGTTCTTTGAAAAGTCTCCATAAAGTGTTCCATATTGGTTGTACAAATGTATACTTCCACTAGAAGTGTATAAGAATTCAATTTTCACCACATCCACACCAACATCTATTCTATTCTGACTGTTTAATAATGAACATTTTAGTTGAGGTAAACTGGTATCTCATTGTGGTTTTAATTTGCATTTCCCTGATGATTAGTAATGTTGAGTATTCTTCATATGTTTGTTGGTCACTTGTATATCTTCTTTTGAGAAGATATTCATGTCCTTTGCTCACTTTTTGATAAGATTTTTTTCTTGCTAATTTGTTTGAGCTTCATATAGATCCTGGATATTTGTCTTTTGTCAGATGCATACATTATAAATATTTTCTCCCATTCCACAGGTTGTTTGTTTACTCTGATGATTATTTATTTTGACATAGAAAATCTTTTTACTTTAATGAGGTCCGATTATTTATTTTTTGTTTTCATTGTGTTTGGTTTTGGAGTCTTAGTCATAAATTATTTGCAAACGCCAATGTCCAGAAACGTCTTTCCAAGGTTTTGCTCTTGAATTTTTATGGCTTCAGGTCTTAGATTTAAGTCTTTAATCCATCTTAAGTTAATTTTTGTGTATAGTTAGAGCTAAGAATTCAGTTTTATTCTTCCACATGTGGCTATACAATTTCCCCAGCACCATTTATTGAATAGAGTGTTCTTTTCCCAATTTATGTTTCTGTATGCTTTGCCAAAGATCAGTTGACTGTAAGTATTTGGCTTTGTTTCTGGCTTCTCTATTCTGTTCCATTGGTCTCTGTATCTACTTTTATATCAGTACCTTGTGTTTTGGTTATTGTAACCTTGTAGTGTAATTTAAAGTTAGGTAATGTGATGCCTTCAGATTTATTCTTTTTGCTTAGGATTACTTTGACAATTAGGGCTCTTTTTTTGGTTCCATATGAATTTTATCATTCTTTCTTTAATTCTGTAAAAATGATGTTACTATTTTGATAGGAATTGCTTTGAATCTGTAGACTGCTTTGGGCAGTATGGTCATTTTCATTATATTGATTCTTCCAATCCATGAGCATGATATGTATTTTCATTGGTTTGTGTAATCTATGATTCTTTTCAGCAGTGTTTTGTAAATCTCCTTGCAGAGATTGTTCTTATTCTTGGTTAAGTATATTCCTAAGGTTTTTTTGTAATTATGCAAAAGAGATTGAGTTCTTTATTTAATTCTCAGCTTGGTCATTTTTGGTGTATAGCACTGTTACTGATTGATTTTGTAATCTGAGACTTTACTGAATTCATTTATCAGATATAGGAATCTTTTGGAGGACTCTTTAGGGTTTTCTATGTACAAGATCATATTGTCAGCAGACAGAGGTGCTCTGACTTCCTGTTTTTCAATTTGGATGCCCTTTACATCTTTCTCTTGCCCAATTGCTCTGGCTAAGACTTCCAGTACTATATTGAAAAGAAGTGGTGAAAGTGGAAATCCTTGTCTTGTCCCAGTTCTCAGGGAGAATGCTTTCAACTTTTCCCCATTCAGTATGATGTTGGCTGTGGGTTTTTTACATATGGCTTTTATTATTTTGAGATATGTTCCATCTATGCCTTGTTTGTTGAGTATTGTTTATCATAAAGGATGCTGGATTTTATCAAATGCTTTTTCGGCATCTATTGAGATGATCATTGTTTTTGTTTTTAATTCTGTTAATATGATGAATCACATTTATGGACTTGTGTATGTAGAATAAAACCCACTTGATTTTGCTAGTATTTTGTGAAGATTTGCGTGTAGATTCATCAGATATATTGTTCTGCAGTTTTCTCTTTTTCTTGTAATGTTCTTTCTTGGTTTTCATATCAGTTGATACTGGCTTTGCAGAATGAGTTTAGGAGGATTTCTTCCTTCTCAGTCTTTTGAAATAACAACAGTAGATTTTGCACCAAATCTTTGAATGTCTGGTAGAATTCAGGTGTAAATATTTCTGGTCCTGGGCTTTTTGCCATTGTTGTTGTTGGCAGTTGTTAAAGTACTGATCAAATTTCGCTGCTTGTTATTCATCTGTTTATAATTTCTATTTCTTCATGATTCAAGCAAAGGGCATTGTGTGTTTCCCGGAATATATTCATTTCCTCTAGATTTTCTAGTTTCTGTGCATATAAGTGTTTATAATATTATGTAAAGATGTTTTGTATTTCTGTGGTGTCAATTGTAATGTCTCTATTTTCACTTCTAATTAAGCTAATTTGAATTTTCTTTTTTCTTTTCTTGGTTAACCTATCTAGCAGTCTATCAATTTTGCTTATTTTTTCAAAGAACCAGCTTTTTGTTTCATTGGTATTTTGTTTTTTTGTTTTGATTTCATTTAGATCTGTTCTGATATTTGTGATTTCTTTTGCTTTGCTAGCTATGTGTTTGGTTTAGTCTTATTTCTCCAGTTGCTTGAGGTGTGACATGAGGTTATCAATTTGTGATCTTTCAGACTTTTTATTGTCAGTGTTTAGCTCTCTAAAGTCTTCTCTTAGCACTGTGTTTGTTGTATCCCAGAGACTCTGATACCTTGTGTCACTGTTATCATTCATTTTGAAAACAATTTAAATTTTGATCATGATTTTATTAATAACCAGAAATAACTCAGGGGCAGACTGTTTAATTTTCATGTATTTGTATAGTTTTGATGATTCCTTTTGGAATTCATTTCTAATTTTATTCCTCTGTGGTCTGAGAAGGTACTTGATACAATTTTAATTTTTTAAAATTTATTGAGACTTGTTTTGTGGCCTATCATATGGTCTATTTTGGGGAATATTCTATATGCTGATGAGAAGAATGTAAACTCTGCAGTTCTTAAGTAGAATGTTTGGTAAATATCTATTAGGTTCATTTGTTACAGAATGCAGTTAAGTCCAGTGTTTCTTTGTTGACTTTCTGCCTTGATGATCTGTCTCGTGTTGTCAATGGAGTGTTGAAGTCCCCCAGTATTATTTTCTTTCTGTATATTTCTATTCTTAAGCCTAGTAATATTGCTTTATAAATCTGGGAGCTCTGGAGTTAGGTGCATATTTATTTAGGATTGTTATATCTTCTTACTGAATTAATCCTTTTATTATTATATAGTGACTGTATTTGTCTTTATTTTTATAGTTGTTGCTTTAAGTTTTTTTAATCTGATATAACAACAGCTACTCTTACTTACTTTTGGTTTCTATTTGTGTGAAATATGTGTTTCCATCCCTTTACCTTCAGTCTGTGAGAAGATTTATGTATTAGGTATGTTTCCTCAACATAGCAGATATATGGTTTGTGATTTTTTATTTATTCTACCAATTCTTTATTGTATTAGTCCATTCTCACACTGCTATGATGAAATACCTGAGACTGGCTAATTTATAAAAAAAAAAAAAAGATGTTTAATTGACTCACAGTTCTGCATGGCTAGTGAGTCCTCAGAAAACTTACCCTCATGGCAAAAGGCACTTCTTCACAGGGTGGCAGGAGACACAGAATGCTGGGTGAAGGGGGAAGCCCTTTATAAAACAATCAGATCTTGTGAGAACTCACTCGCTATCAGGAGAACAGTATGGGGAAATGGCCCCCATGATAAAATTATCTCCACTTGGTCCCAACGTTGACTCATGGGGAGTATTACAATTCAAGATGAGATTTGAGTGGGGACATAGAGCCAAACCATATCATTCTGCTGCTGGCCCCTTCAAAATCTCATGTCCTCACATTTCAAAGCACAATTGTGCCCTTCCAACAGTTCCTCAAAGTCTTAACTCATTCCAGCATTAACCCAAAAGTGCAAGTCCAAAGTTTCATCTGAGGTGAGGCAAGTCCCTTCCACCTATAAGCCTGTAAAATCAAAAACAAGTTAGTTACTTCCTAGATACAAAGAGGGTACAGGCCTTGAGTAAATATACTCATTCCAAATGGGAGAAATTGGCCAAAACAAAGGGGCTACAGGCCCCATGCAAGTATGAAATTCATCAGGGAAGTCAAAACTTAAAGCTCCAAAATGATCTCCTTTGACTCCATATCTCACATCCAGGTAACAGTGATGCAGAAGATGGGCTCCCACAGACATGGGCAGCTCCACCCCTGTGACTTTGCAGGGTACAGCCCCCATCATGGCTGCTTTCATGGGCTGGCATTGTCTGTGGCTTTTCCAGGTGCACGATGCAAGCTGATGGTGAATCTATCATTCTGGGATGTGGAGGATGGTGGCCCTCTTCTCACAGCTTCATTAGGCTATACCCCAGTGTGCACTCTCTGTAGGGGCTTCAATCCCACATTTCCCTCCTGCCCTGCACTAGCAGAGGTTCTCCATGAGGGCCACTTCCCTGCAGCAAACTTCTGTCTGGACATCTAGGCATTTCCATACATACTCTGAAATCTAGGTAGAGGTTCCCAAACTTCAACTATTGACTTCTGTGCACCCACAGACCCATCACCACGTGTAAGCCACCAAGACTTGGGGTTTGTGCCTTCTGAACAACAGTGTGAGCTGTATGTTGTCCCCTTTTAGCCACAACTGGGACATAGGGCACCAAGCCTTGAGATTGCACTAAGCAGTAAGATCCTGGGCCGGGCCCATGAAACCATGTTTTTTTCTACTAGGCCTCTGGGCCTGTGATGGGAAGGCCTGCTGGGAAGACCTCTGACATGCCCTGAAGACATTTTCCCCATTGTATTGACGATTAACATGTGACTCCTCATTACTGATGCAAATTTCTGCAGCAGGCTTGAATTTCTCTCCAGAAAATGGGTTTTTCTTTTTCATTCATCATCAGGCTGTGAATTTTCTGAAATGTTATGTTCTGCTTCCCTTTTAAACATAAGTTACAATTCCAAACCATATCTTTGTGAATACATAAAACTGAATACTTTTAAGAGCACACGAGTCACAGCCCGAACACTTTACTGCTTAGAAATGTCTTCCACCAGATACCCTAAATCATCTCTATCAAGTTCAAAGTTCCACAGATATCTAGGGCAGGGGCAATATGCCACCAATCTCTTTGCTAAACCATAGCAAGAATCACCTTAATTTCAGTTTGCAACAAGTTCCTCATCTCCATCTGAGACCACCTCAGTCTGGACTTCATAGTCCATATCATTATCAGCATTTTGGTCAAAGCCATTCAACAAGTCTCTAGGATGTTCCAAAGTTTCCCACATGTTCCTGTCTTCTTCTGAGAACTCCACACTTTTCCAACCTCTGCTAATTACCCATTTCCAAAGTTGCTTCCACATTTTTGGGGTCCTTATAGCAGCTCCCCACTATCTCCTGGTACCAATTTATTGTATTAGTCTGTTCTCACGCAGTCTACTTAATTTTCATCATATTTCTTTCTTAATTATTTTGGAGATACACATACCTTTAAAATTAATACATTTAGTGTGGAGTGGAAACAGTATTTTCACTTGAGCAGATGATGCTCAGGTGAAAATTCCTAATTTTTTGTTCTTAAATTAATAGCAATCATGTATAAAATAGTAAATACCAGACACTCCCCTGAGTTCATCACATATCAATGTATTTAATGTTCACAAAACATGATGAAGAAAATTTTATTTTTTTTCCATTTTGGAGATGAGGAAACTGAAGAAAAGGAAGGTTAAGTAACTTATTCAAATGTCCAAAGTAGTGAAGAAAAATTCAAACTAGGTGCCTGGTTCCAAATGCCCAGGTTTCTAATCATTTACATTGTATTTTATTATTATTATTTTTTTGAGATGGAGTCTCGCTCTGTCACCTAGGCTGGAGTGCAATGGTGCAATCTCAGCTCACTGCAACCTCCACCTCCCAGGTTCAAGTGATTCTTCTGTCTCAGCCTCCCAAGTAGCTTGGATTGCAGGCACTTGCCACCACGCCCAGCTAATTTTTTTTATTTTTAGTATAGATGGGGTTTCACCATGTTGGCCGGGCTGGTCTCGAACTTCTGACCTCAAGTGATCCACCTGCCTTGGCCTCCCGAAGTGCTGGGATTACAGGCGTGAGCCACCATGCCCAGCCAAAAAATATATGACATGTAGTAATTGTATGTGTAGGTGGCTATCAAAATTTTAATATATATTGCCTTTATATGCCTTTTTTCTCTAAGAGTGAGAGGATATTTATTCTGAGAAAATGAATCATGAGGAAAGAAAGATTTCTGTTGAGGCAAAAAGGCCAGCATGTTGGCATTCTCACAATAACCAGAAAATAGGAACTTTTCTATGAATTATAAGAAGGAAATAAATAAGCCTGAAACATGGGAATAGACTGCTCAGTGATGGAGGTTGAGCTCATAATTTTCCTTCAAGCTTGTCTTTGTAGTCTTTTTTTACCTAAGAAGTCAGATAGAAATGCACTTTTTAATCAACAGTAATTATAAAATTTTACGATTCTTGATTTTTCCTGTGAGTTATTGGAATACATCAAGACTGCCTACACTTTCCATTTCTACCCAAAAGACTGCTTTATAAGATCTCTAATCCTAATGTTAGCCCTAAGCCACTTGTTAGTACAGAAGACTTATCATTTTAGAGAACACTCAGTAATGCTGAACTGCGATCCACCCCTGATAGTTTTTCTCTCAGTTTGCTGGCCCTCTTTCCACTAACCAACTAAACAAACGTTCAGAAGCTTGGCCAGGTCTTCTGTTTCACATAGTTCTTCCACAGCACTTCTGAGAGATCCCAAACCCAATTTATCCATTGGGCCATTAAAATGTACTTGATTTTGGTCCTTGTAGGAACTAGATGGAATTCTTTCTCAGCTAAAAGTCTATACTTTATTTCCTAATTACAATTCTGTTCCTTATTGAGGTATTTGAAAAATTCATCGTACAACAAGTTACAGGATATTTTGAAGGAGGAAAATTGTATTCGGTTAAAAGAAGTGCAATCACATTTAAAATATACCATCTCAAAACACTGCCTACTCCATTAGCACAAACATTCTATTACAAGATAACTGCAGGAAAAGTGGCTAAAAAGTAATGATTACCTTCACAGTCAGACTAGCAAGCATTTAACAAAGAAATGAACTTGTCTTAGCAATGATGATAACTAGGCTTCCCAATGATAGCCTAAAGCCCTACAGAGAAATGAAGCTATCACATGGATAATTCAGATAGCACTCATTGAGTTTGGGGATTAAAGTTCCAGGATAATTGGCTCAGTTCTCCACATGGGTTTGGTCATGAAGACCTGTACAATAACTACTAAGTGCTGTCTCCATGGCATAAAGAGCCATTTAAGTAATGTCCATCCTTTTCATTATAAATGAAGTTACTGTAGCAGTTATTCATAGCACAAAGTTCCATTACTCCCTTCGATAATGAAAGAGAAGAGACAGGCAGCAGAGTATTTTAGTGTTTTCCAACCAAAAACAAAAACAAAATGAAACAACAATGATAAAAATAAAACCCTTAAAAAAACCCACCACCACTGGCAAGAACAAACAAATCAACATAATACAAGGGAACAACAATTAAAAGACACGCCAACTCTGGCAATTTTTAGTGGACACTTATTACTGAACCTCCCTTTTTCTGTCTTATTCACAGAGAACAAACTGATGATGGTTTTTGCAACATACCTAATGGGAACCGAAAGAGGAAGACAAGTTTGGGCAATATTAGACAAGTCTATTCCTTGGAATTATGTTTCTGTGGCGTTTACTATTTTAGGAAAATATAGTAATCCATTGTAGCAAGTGTCAACTGCTGAATTTAGAAATGTCCTTATAAGAAAATAAGCTAGAAAGCTGCCTATGAGAGGTTACTTGTGAAGAACTTATGTCCTACCCTAGTGGCTTATTCCATAGAGAAATGCATTGGCTTCTTATTTCAAAAAATGTGAAGGAATATGAGGAGAAGCTTATGCGCGTAATCCCAGCACTTTGGGAGGATGAGGTGAGTGGATCACTTGAGACCAGGAGTTCCAGTTCAGCCTGGTAAACATGGCCAAATCCTGTCTCTACTAAAATTACAATATATATATATATGTATTGCTAGGCCTGGTGTTGCATGCCTTAATCCCAGCTACTCTGGAGGCCGAGTCATGAGAATCACTTGAACCTGGGAGGCAGAAGTTGCAGTGAGCCGATATGACACCACTGCACTCCAGCCTGGGGGACAGAGCGAGACTGTCTCAAAAAAAAAAAAAAAAAAAAAAAGCAAAGAAAGAAAGGAAGAAAGGACAAGAAAAAAGAAGAAAGGAAAGAAAAGAAAAGAAAAAAGAAAAGAAAAGTGAAGAATGTAAGAAGACATTTTTCTCAACACTCTTGTGAGGTAGCTTTCCTCTGTGACAAAGTATCAAATGAGCCTTGGGCATTCGTTTGTGACAATTTGTGATAGTAAGAGTTAAAAGTGGAAGTAGTGAAGGAGGCAAATTTGAAGATACTGGTCACAGTGAAGAGAAGATTTACTTCTTTCACAATTTTATTTAGAGCTCAGACAAGTTTCTTGGCTTCATTATTCCAAGGACTTCCACTATTTCTTACCAATTTTAAGTTAGTGTCAGAATAAATCTCACTGGCTATGCAAGTGCTCTATCAGTGTTGTCCCATGTTTCAGTTATAATTTGTGCCACTCTGCAAACTCTTACCTGCCTACCATATTGTCAGTTACAGATTTCCAAAAGGAAACATCCACAGCAATTCTGTTTTTTAACCAGGGGCTTATGCAAAGGCTAAAAATGCATGAAGAGATTAAAACAGTACAACAGAAGTTATGACACCTGTCTCTGTCAGTGTGGAAGACGGTGGAAAAATAGCTATAAGCTCTTATCCAAATAGGATAGTTGAAAGAGTGCATGCTTCTAACTGGGGAGAGATTCATGAATAAATTAGGAGGAATTCAAATTAGTGCTAATGTGTGCAAGGGCTGTGATTGTTGCCTGTAGTAGTTGAAAATACTTGTGTCTGTCCTATCCATGCCCTCTTCCTCCAAATGATTGCTTTGCTTGAGCTTCACCAGATTCAGGGCTGCAGTAATTCTGGGACCTAAAAATATATGTTAGTAAGTTTTACTGAGAATAGATTGGAAAGATTGAAACTATAATTATTCTACATAAGAGCTTTGTGGAATTTTAGTTAAATACATTTTGTCCTGTATACATAATGCACTTAGTAATATTAACAAGCAAATAAAATATCAGAGAATTTACAGTGCAATAAGGTAATCCTGAAATGTTTTGAAGGTGATGATGGGGAGATGGGACATTAAGAAGACATTTCTAAGGCATTAGCCTTTTCTAGATAGATATTATTCACCTCCTCTAGAAAACTCCCAACTCTTTCGTGGCTATGAATGAAAAATAAGCACTTGAAAAAAGTCATTTCTGGAATTTTGGACTCAAAGAGAAAATATGAAAAAAAAAGTTGTTTTAGGAATGGTTGAATGATAGTTCAGTATTTCTTCCTCAATTTCAAGTAAAATAAATCTGCAGAGTAGAAGCCTACCTTTGCTATATTGCCTTATAATAGGTCAGTATTTGAAGAGAGTTAAAATTTTTAGAGTAAGATAATGCTAGAAATCTTACACAATCCAATTATTTTTATTTGTTTATAAATAACTAGTTTGCAATTAACAGAACATTTTTGCGTGTGTTTAAGTACACTTACGTAACCAAAATTGAAAACTAATTTCTTTTACCCTAATTTTCCCAAGCATGATCATACACTTGGATATAATCAAGTTCCCAATCCTGCTGAAGAGCCAACCTAACAAGTGAAGCCTCTGCTTCACATTCAGTGTTCAGCAGTTTGCATTTGTCTGTCTGTATGTTTGTTCTGTGATAAAATTTGAACCATTTGACAGTTTTTGACTAAACTAATATATTAGAAGGCATCAAGATAAATATTAAGCTTAGTTTGTTACTCAGTTTGATTTATTCACTGAAAACTGACTGATATGTCAGACAATAAAATTGATAAAAGGATATATCTTTCCTAGGTTTTAATGTTTCTCAATGAAATTTGCTCTGTAGATGTTGACCAAAGATAAGCCCAAAAATGGAAACAAAAATGCATTTATTGAGAAAGAGATTGTGTTGCCACATTGAATTGGTTAGTCTCTTGGTATCTTTCTGTGAAGGCAAAGACCTTTATAGTCTGTAATTTCGGTATCATGCAGAGAAAATGACCTCCATCTTTACCAATCAGGTCTAATCAGGACCAATTGGAAATCTCAGCATACCTTTTATTTTTTATCATGCAAATCACTCCAAGAAGCCAAAGTCTCCTAACTCATTCTTCATCTCCACAGCTAGCCTTGAATGTTCCTCCTATCAGATCTCATAAAACACTCTTCTCATCTTCTGAAACCCTTTCATTATACATTTGTACAGACATGGTCATACAAAAAACTCAATGCTCACAACATCTTACCTAATAATACTCTCACTTTCTTTTCTAACACCTAGATCTGTTTTTAAGGCACTATTTTCCTACAGTTTTCTCAGTAAATGGCATTTTTTCTGTTTAATATTTCTTGTACCACAAGGCCCAAAAGTATAACAAGTGACTTCCTTGCTTCATATTGCCTCTCAAGACATTTGTCCCTTTCTCCTCCAGAAAGATACCACTCTTTAACTCTCAGATCATTAGACTGTAACACCTATTCATCAAACTTATTTCAGTCATCTATTAACCTTCAGGTTACTCCCTCTTATTCTGTGAACATTTTAACACTCAGCTTACTGACACTAATGTTGGACACTAAGTGTTAGACACACTAATTAATGTTAGTTTTTTAATGTTAGTTAATGTTAAAGTTACAGACATTAATGAATGTTAGACAGAATGTTAGACACTAAGTCTAACATTGTTTCTTTTATAATTCCAAATGATTTCAATATGCATGTAAATGACCTAACACCCTGGCCTTGTCTGTCTTTTATCTCCTCTCTTCCAAATATTCTTGTTCCCCACTTTACTTCAACTACTCACTCCAGTAGTTACACTCTAGACTTGTGCTGACCCACATGGTAACCACTAGTCATATATGGCTAGTAAGGATTAAAATTGATCCCTACTTCATTAGGAAAATTTAAGCAATCAGAACAGGTGTTTTACAAGTTCTTATTAGTATGTCTATCACCTACATGCATCTGCATTCATTAACTCTATCATCTCTCCTGTTACTCTGAGTGAATTTCTCATGTCCTTGGTCAAGGCCAACCTCACAACTTGTGCATTAGATCCAATTCCATCTAGTCTACTCCATGACATTGATTTATAAACTATCACCTTTCTTTCTGCATGTTAAATTTCCCCATATCTGTTAGAAAAATTATATTTAGACTAGACACAGGTAAGTCATTATTTGAAAGTGAGAATGGAGAAGGTAAAATGGAAGGTTTGAGAGAGAAAAAAAGTGTGACATATATACATAGGCATAAAACAAAATATCTTAAGGATCTGTATATAAAAAAAGTGAAAAACCAATGAAAGAAATTAAAGATCTAAATAAGACAGATTTTGTGTTTGTGGACTGGAATGTTCAATATTGTCAAAATGCTATTTTTAAAATACGAAATATAAATTGAATACAATTCTTTTAAAAATCTCAGCAATAAATTTTTTATGCATTGACCAACTGATTCTAAAATTTATACACAAAGAAAAAGACCTAAAATAGTCAATATAATCCTAAAAAAAATTGGAGAGTTTACATTAGCTAATTTCAAGACTTACTATAAAGCCTACCATAATGAAGACAAGATGGTATTGGTATAAGAATAAACACATTGATTAAAAGAACAGAGAAGACAGTCCAGAAATAGAGCCATCCACATATAGTCAACTGATTTTGATAAAAAGGATCCAAGGCAATTTGATGAAGAATATATATTTTCAACAGAAGTTGCTGGCAAAATTGAATGCTTACATGCAATTTTAGAAAACTTAAACATAGATCTCACATCTTCAACAACAAAAAAAATTTAAAATATACATCTAAATGTAGAATGAAAAAATATTTAAGTTCTAGAAGAAAGTAAGATAAAATCTGGGTGACCTTGGTTTTGTGATGCATTTTTGAATATAATAACAAAAGTAGTCTTTGTTAAAGTTAACAATAAGTTGGACTTTACTAAAATTAACATTATTTATTATTAAGATTATTTTGCTCTGCCAAAGTCACTGTTAAGATAAAAAATAGACCAGCCACATATGGAAAGAAAATATTTATTTATAAATCATATAGCGGATAAAGGACTCGTGTCCAGAATATACAAATAATTCCTAAAACTCAACATTGAAAAAAAAGGCCCAATTCAAAAATTAGCAGAAGATCTAGATAGACATCTCACTTACAGCTGGCAAATAAGCATTTGAAAAGATGTCTAATGTCATTTGTCATTAGAGAAATGCCAATTTAAAAAACAAAACCACTACATTCTTATTAGAATACATAAAATTAAAAAATATAATACCAATTGCTATAGAAGATGCAGAACAATGACAACTGTTCATAGTTGGTAAGAATGTAAAATGATAACACCATTTGATAAAATATTTTGGCAGTTTCTTATAAATTTATATATCATCTTACTATATGATTCAACAATTGTACTCTAGTTATTTATCCAACAGATTTAAAACTTATATAACACTTACACATATGGATATCTATTGCAGCCTTATTAATAATTGCCAAAAACTGGAAGCAATCAGGATTTCCTTCCACAGGTGAATGAATAAGCAAACTGTGGTATATACATATACTGAAATACTATTTATTGATATTTAAAAATCAGCTATTAATTCAGGCAACACCATGGACAAATCTTAAATGTGTATTTCTAAGTTTAAAAAGCCAGTGTAAACATAATGCATAGTATACGATTACTTTTATATGATATTCTGGATGAGGCAAAATACTATAAAGAGAGAAAATAGATCAGTGGTTTCTCAAGACTTAGGGAGGAGGTGGACAGATGAAGCACAGTGAATATTTTAGGGTGGTGTAACTATTCTATATAATATTGCAGTGGTGGACACATGACACTATGCAGTTTTTAAAAATCCATACAAATGTATAGCACAGAATGAACCTTAATATATGCACATTTGGAAAAATAATATAGGAGGTCAAGGAGCCTAGGATGGAATGCAGATTATGATAAAAATAATCTATTTGTATTACAAATGTAAAGCATAAAGTCAGTGAAGGAAGTGAGGAAGGAGATTTTGACCTGAAGTAACTTTGGAAATGGTTTTGAGAATGTAAGTCTAAAAGAAAAAGGAGTTGTACATAGCATTTTACTCTAAACAATACAGTTATTTACTATGATGGTATGTGTTAACAGTTTGGAAATCATTCTATTAGTATGCTAGAATTTAACAATTAAGCAAATGGATGCCAGGAACTAAGTTCCTTACTCTTTGACTGAGAGATTACAAATAATCAAAGAGGAGGCTAGAATGATCCATGTGGTAATGCAATAGAGTTGAAGCCATCCATAAGAATGTATGTTTAGCTTAAGATTGGTATATAAAAATATTTATAGATGATATGCATGCATATGCATGTATGCCTGGTTTAGTATACACACATGTATTTGCTTTGTCAGCTCTGCACTTGTCTGTCAGCTGAGGGAGTCTGAAAGCAATGATACTTCAGTAGCAAAGAGCTTGGCTAGTATCCAGGTCTTTATTTCTATCTCCAAAAAGTTTAGCAGGTCTCCTTGGAGAAATGGTTGATTTTAGGGATGGGGCAGGAAATATACAAGATTAGCCTAGAGAACCTTGTAGTTCCAGAAAGTAAGAAAGTGTTCAAAACAAACAAACAAGTGAATGGACATACATCCAAGTAGCACAGGAGCCAACTGAAATAGCTCCCAATAGCCAAAGCTAGAACCATTTAAGCAATAAAATAAGGTAATATTGGATTATAACCCAAAGTAGTGTATATATATGTATACATATATGTATATATCATATATACGTATATATGTATGTATCATATATACATATATATGTATATACATGTATGTATACATATATGTGTATATACATATATGTATACATATATATACATATATATGTATATACATGTATGTATACATATATGTGTATATACATATATGTATACATATATATACATATATGTATATACATGTATATACATATATGTATATACATGTATATACATATATACATATATGTATACATATATGTATACATATATGTATACTGATATACATGAATAATTGAATAGAACAATATTTGGAAGTAATAAGCACATTTTTTACAGCATTCCAAATAATTTTTTGTAGATGCTTACTTTTCAAGGAGATAGAACACAACTTCTCATTCCATAAATATGGGATATGCACCTTGACTTCCTTCTAAAGAGTACCACATGGAAAGGACAGGAAAAAATAATAATTTTACAGTGGCGAAATTTAACAAACACTACTACATCAGCCAGGTGACTGAGTTTAACATCCTTAGTGATAAGTAATGTTAATTACATGTACCCTTGATGTGATAAGAATGATGCTTTACCTCTGTGATCTTCCTTCCAAAAACAAATACCCCTTTTTATTAATGAGATAAACTTCAGACAAATCCAAATCAAAATATGTACTATGAAATATCTGACCAGTACATCTCAGAATTTTCAAATTCATCAAAAGCAAGGAAAGACTGGGAAACTGTCATAGCCTAGAGTGGTCTAAGGAGACATGATGACTAAATGTAATGTTCTGTCCTAGATGAGATCCTGGAAAAGAAAAAGAATATCAGGTAAAAACTAAGGAAATCTGAATATAAACTTTACTGAATGATAAAGTATCAATATTGGATTATTAATTTCAAAAACTTTACCATACTAATGTTAGATGTTAATAACAGGTAAAGCCAAGCAGGGTGACTCATGCCTGCAGTCCCAACACATTGGGAGGCTGAGGGGGTGGACTGCTTGAGCTCAGGAGTTTGAGACCACCTTGGGCAACAGGGCAAAAGCTCATCTCTACAAAAACAAAAAAACAAACAAAACCCCAAAAAACCCCCAAATTAGCCAGGCATGGTGTGGCAAAACTGTAGTTCCAGTAACTCAGGAGGCTGATACAGGAGGACTATGTGAGCCTGTCAGGTCAAGGCTACAGTGAGCCATGATCGCACCACTGTACTCCAATCTGGATGACAGAGTGAGGCCCTGTCTCAAAATAAATAAATAAAATAAATAAATTATAGGTAAGGCTGAGTTTGGGTATAGAGTGTCTGTAGTAGAACTGCAACTTTTATGTAAACCTAAAAATATTCTAAAATAAAGCTTATTAAAGTTTATTAAATGTTCAAAAGGGTTTAATGTCTTATCAGTCATATTCTATACAACATTGCTTCTGATCAAGGAATTTATTTCACAGTGAAATAAATGTACCAATGAGCTCATGACTATACAATTCACAAATCTTAAAATGTACGGTATCATTTATAAATAGGTGCCTTGATAACATAGTGAATTATGCATCAGGGATTCATTTACAATATTATTTTAGATAATCCACCCTGAAAGGAAGAGACTTTATCTTACAAAATTCAGTAATACTTTTAATAGGCAACCAATATGTGGTACACTTTCCCTCATGGACATAACACGTGAATCCGGAAAGCAAGGGAAATAAATGAAAATGATTCTGCTTATTAATATACCTAAAACAGTCACAGAATTTTTCCTTCCTATTCCCATAACTTTGAATCTTGCTTATTTGGAGTTCTTAATTCCAAAGAAAAAACTATTTTCATCATGAGATATAACAATGGATTAATTAAGTTGAAAATCTAGGCTGCCATTTAGCCATTGTATTTGACTCTTCATGCCACAAAAACAACAGGCAAAGAAAGAGGTTACTTCATTGGCTTGGGTAATTGATACTATCAGGAGGAAATTGAGTTGCCACTATCTAATAGGTGCAGGAGACTGTGTTTGGAATTCAGTGCCTGCTTCTTAAACTTCCATGTCTTATAGTATAATATAATGGTAAACAACTGTAATCAAAAAAGACAAGATTTAGTTGAGAGGTGGCTGAGGAAAAAGAAACATGGTAAAAGTATCAGGAAAAGGTTCTAATATATATTAAGTATGGCCTTACAGCTTCAGAAAAGAGAACTGTGTCTGGTATGCACATTTTCCTCCTTGTTTTCTATTATGGGAATGTGTGCTCACACATTGATTTTGTTCTCATTCTTACTTTCCCTTTATGATTTTACATAAGGATTATTGTCTGTGTTTAAGTTTATAATTTAGTGCTCAGGGTTTAGAATGTTCCGATAATACTGTAACAGAATTAGAGGAATAATTAACTTAACATCACCCAGAGATGTGTGAATGACTATTGCTCAAAGATATGTGCAATTACTGTCGGGAATTTGTGTCTTTCCTTTCAGAGAGAGCATGAAATAACTTTTATTTGTATGAGAATACATGCATATTTTGCACAAAAGTATAACATTGTTCTTGTAGTTGAAAGAAAGTTCAAATATATATATAGAAGGATACATACAAATTCTGATTAGTGAAGAACCAGACTACCATGGTTATTAAACTATTTTTTCTCTGCTCTAAACCTACCCTTGCATGCTCTGCTTTGTGATGTTGGTGCCTGGACTCTGAAAACTACATGTCTCTTGTTAGATGACTAACAAAATATTTGCTTATCTGCCTGTTTTCTACTGATACAGTGTGCTAGAAAAGAACTTGAAGACAAAAAGAAGGGTGAAAAAGAGAAGTGATTTGTTCCTTCCTGTTTGCTTGCTGTTTCTATCAGCATCATCCCAGCAATAATTTTTCACTCTGACTGCAGCAGGGATCTAGTCTTTAGATTCTTTTTAACTTCCGGAACCATCCTAATTCTAGAACCTCAGAGGTACCGGCCAAATCTTGGGAGCACCCTCTCCACAAATACCTCAATCACAGCTTTGTGGAACCTCTACTAAGAGCTGCTCATGCAGCAGCACTGGCTAGTCAGTGCCCCCTAATAAATGATCTTTGAGAGTCCTCTCCACTAAGCCATACAGAGCCTTATCCCAGAAGTCCGAACACCAGCTCTTCCAATTAGGCTTTGTCCCTGAGCTCCTGACATAACAGCCTTGGCTAGGCAGTGCTCTCTCCCCAGAATTCTGTGTCCCAACTCTATGGAGACTCTTCTCTCAGCTAGTTGGCTCTGACATACCTAACTTCTTCCCTTTGTTTCATGAGCTCTAGGATTGACAGCTGCTTTCTACAGTTACTACCTATGCATTACCTCAATGTTCTTGTTTTTTTCAAACCTCCAACACATGATTAACCAGATTCCTATATTAAATTTTGTCTGTTGAGATATCTAGTATCTTTTTTGTTTTCCTGAATGTACCTTGGCAGATCAACTACATAGAATGGTATTTGACTTATTTATCTTGTTTATTGTCTCTGTTCCCCTACTAAACTGTAAGCACCATGAGAGCAGAAACCTATCCTTTTTGTTCACTGTTCTGTCCCCAATGCCAAGAACAGTGACTGGCATATATTAGATTCTCAACTGATATTTGTTGAATAAACAGGTGAATGAATTAATGAATTCGTTTTGTGAGAGAAGGAATTATTTTTATCCAAAGGTAAGCCATTTGTTCCAAAACCATGG
This sequence comes from Homo sapiens, assembly GCF_000001405.40. NCBI lineage: Eukaryota > Metazoa > Chordata > Mammalia > Primates > Hominidae > Homo > Homo sapiens. The sequence goes on from NC_000023.11 coordinate 81,920,593, forward strand.
GTTTAATAATACACTCTTTTGTTGCTGCTTTCAAATCTCATCTTTATTAGGTAGTATATTCTTATTTATATTTATGTCGACTTATGAATTTTCTTTTTTTCTTTTTTTAAATTTATTTATTTATTTATTTTTTCTTTTATTATTATACTTTAAGTTTTAGGGTACATGTGCACATTGTGCAGGTTAGTTACATATGTATACATGTGCCACACTGGTGCACTGCACCCACTAACTTGTCATCTAGCATTAGGTAAACCCCATCAAAAAGTGGGCAAAGGACATGAACAGACACTTCTCAAAAGAAGACATTTATGCAGCCAAAAAACACATGAAAAAATGCTCATCATCACTGGCCATTAGAGAAATGCAAATCAAAACCACAATGAGATACCATCTCACACCAGTTAGAATGGCAATCATTAAAAAGTCAGGAAACAACAGGTGCTGGAGAGGATGTGGAGAAATAGGAACACTTTTACACTGTTGAATTTTCTTTATCATTATGTATTTATCTATCTTTCTTCACTAAAACAGAAGAAACATGATAATAAAGATGTCAGCCTTTGTTTTGTTTTGTTTTGTTTTTTTACTGGTAGCATCAGCATCCAGAGAAAGGTCTGGCACATAATAGGTACTAAATAAATATTTAGTGAATGATCAATGAATGAATCTTGATCCCACAATAGAATTCCGACTAAGTACTTTGATAAACATTTGTTCTTTAACTATAGAAAGTTAAGTGATGTAGTTACTCTTTATCTGTCAATGAAACATATCCCAAAAATATTAAACAAAAAATTCCAAAAATGAGCAAACCATTAGTTTTAAATTATGTGCCATTCTTGGTAGCATAAAAAAAATCTTGCACCATTCTCCTTTGTTCCACCAAGGAAATTAATCATCCCTTTGTCCATCATATCCATGCTCTATAAGCTACCTGGCCACTAGTCACTTACTAGCCATCTTGGTTAACAGATTGACTGTTGCAGTATCATAGTGTTTGTGTTGAAGTAACCCTTTTTTTACTTAGAAATGGCCCCAAAGAGCAAGTGTAGTGATACTGGCATATTGTTATAATTGTTTTATTTTATTATTGGTTATTGCTATTAATATCTTATTGTGCCTTATCTATAAATTCTACTTTATCATAGGTACATAGGTATAGAATAAGAGAAACAGTATATATAGGGTTTAATGCTATGTTCAGTTTCAGACATCCACTGGAAGCCTTGGAGCGTATTCCTTATGAATAAGGAGGGACTACTCTACTAGTGAATACTGCTCTCTAGCAACTGCTTAATTAAGATTGGCATGGCCAATTTACTTAAACATAATTATTGAGGGAAGAATAATTTTATCCAACTGATATTTATGGAACATCTATTATGTGCAATGAAACCCAATAAAAGGTTAAAACTTCAAAAAGTTGACGTAAAGTAGTTAACTATCGTGATTACTTTAGTGAAGACAGGTCAGCAAGAACTAATTTTATAAATTTAGAATGAGGTTATTGGAGTCGTGTAAGTTTTAAACATCAGAACTGTTAACACAGAGAAGTAGAAAGACAGTAGAGCATTTGCCAACTGGAAGGATAATCAGAATTCTTTAAAGATATCAGGTAGAGCCTTCATTTTATCCATTGAAAATAGAAGGAGATAATGGAAAAACAGAAAATTATTGCTGCAATAGGGCATTATTAACAAAAGTAGAACTTGGGTACACCTTTAATTAGAGCTTTTAAATAGTTGAGAGGAAGAAACCATCCTCTTTTATATATCTTCCTTTACCTAGCTTATATACCTTTTGATTTGTTATTTTTATGTAGAACCACTGTTACCTAGGGCTAAAATGAGGCTCACTTTCTTTCCTGAGAGGCAATCGATATCACAGATCCTTCCTTCTCCACAACAAGTACCTTATATTTTACCTACTTTTCACAATTTTTGTGGATACTTGTTTGTGGTATGAGGTGATACATAGTATCTGGTCCTTGTCCTCCATACCTATATTAACCAAGGACAAATTTCTGTTCAAAATTGTTACCTTTACTTCTGTGATAAAAACACAAATGTCTCAATAAAATATGTGGTGTTCTCAAAATCATCACTAATGAAGTTTACAATTAATATAGTAATTATTTGGTGATAATTAGCTGCTCAAAGCTTTATACTATTTTAAAAGAAATATTTACACCATTATGTTTTGGTCAACCTAAACTTTATTTTAGGCTTGTAGTAGTATAGCCAATAATTTTATGTTGAAACATATGCCAAATTACATGACAGAAGTAGAACACACAATAGAAGTGCAAGTTACAGACTCTGACTTCAAAGAATATGTTGTCTAATTTGAAAGACAGCTTCTATATACGCCTCTGTTTACTTTAGATGAGGCTTGAAATCTGAGCTTGAGAAGTTTCAAATAATATGTCATTCATTTCTACTCTTCACAGACACAGAAATCCGCAGGCATTGTTAACATATGAAGAAGGAAGTTAGTGGAGGGCTTTATAGGAAAAAGATAATTGAACAAAAAGAAAAGGAGAACTTACTGGTTTTCTGGACTTTAAGGGAAGCCAATGTAACTAGATAAAACAGAAAAGTTGATGCTTTCTGAAGGCTATCACAGCTAGTGGGAATAGGCATACACATTAGCTTGGAAAAGTAAGTAAAGGAGCCAAGGTTTCCCAAAATATAGCTTTAACAATAGGCTAATGAATATGCTTCAGGGAATAGAGTAGAATTTCAAAGCCCACAAAAACCTTAAAGAGAAACAAAGCCAGCATCTACCAGATGTGTTAAGCATGGTCTGAAATCCATGAAAGGAATCCTTGGCACTAAGTTAGACATATGCCAGCTTTATTGTAGCAGTAGGGCATTGAAGTCTATAACATTAAGGGGTGGAGCCTTTAGGAGTTGATTAGACCATGAGGGCTCTGTCTTCATATATGGGATTAATACCCTTGTGAAAGGGCTTGAGAGAACTTGTTTGTCCCTTTTTTGCCCTTCTTTCTTTTTGCCATGCGAGGACACAGCAATAGGCATCATTTTGTAAGCTGAGAGCAGCCATCACCAGACAATCTGTCTAAGCTGTCATCTGGGACTTCCCAGACTATGGAACTGTGAGAAGTACATTTCTATGATTTATAAATTGTCCAGTTTATGGCATTTTGTTAAAGAAGCATGAATGGAGTAAGACAAGAAATAATAGGTAAATTCCATTTTAATATTTCTTTCTGGAGAATCTTCTCTCTGATGCTGCTGCTACTAACCAGTGGTTTTTATAGCTAAATATAGTTGTGAAGGTATTGAGGTGGCAGTTCCTCAAGACCTATCTCCATTGTAACTACTCCTTCTCAAAGCATCTCTTTTATCACAATCTTTCCCAGACCAAAGACATACTGGGCTAGAATGGAGATGCAGGTAGTTAGAGTTTGGTGAATCTCAAATGAGTAATAAACGTTTGAAGAACATCAATTTGTAATTTTTGTGTCACAGGAGGCACAAGCCTTAACAATTTAGTTCTACAAAAGCAGTGTTTTCCATGTGAATGCTTCCTTTCTTCTAGTTTATCTTCTCTCCCTCTGCACATAGACTTCTCCATCAAGTCCTTCCTTACCTCTATTGTGAAACCACAGCTTTTTCTGCAGGATTAGGATGATCTGTATTCCTGCCTTTTCTTTTAGTTTTCAACTCAAGTACCTTAGATTTCATTCAGATACTGATTAAAGTTTTGCTTAGTCATTGCTGATCCTGAGGGGGAAAAAAGAATGAATGCTTTTTCAGTGAGCAAAAATAAAGATGAGCTTTTCAATTCTAATTTATTTTCATCAATGACCAGAACTATTTTTAATTTCACATATCTTATAAAATTTCCTGGCATCAGCACAGTTTGGTATCTAGGGGACGTGGTACCAATTCAGGTTAGATTAATTTTTATTCCTGCATGGATTTGAATCCTACCTGTGTCACCTTGAGTAAATTGCTTAACCTTTCATTTCTCAATTTCCTCACATTGAATTCTTGTAAGGTTTAAAACATACGATGTATACCAAACTCTTAGAACAGTACCTGACTCAATAAATTTTATATATAATACTCATGCCTAATTTCTATATTTGATATAAGGGGGTTAATAACAGTTCTGGTACATTTTTTAATAATAACTTTAATTTGTTCCATCTATTGATAAAGTCAAACTTATCTTTACCAAACCAAGTAGAAAAAAAAAAATCTTTACTTTGGTTAAGATAACTAGGGTAACAAATAGTTCCCAAGGTAAAAGTCAGCAACAGATGAAATAATCCTCATGAGTCTAGAAAAAATAATCTATACACATAATGGCACATATAAATAAGTAAAAATATAGAAAGGAATGTGTTAGAAACAGTTACAATTATTGATCTTTTCCCACTGGATGCTTCCCTGTACATTTCTCACATAAAATAGAGGTAAACCATATAGGATAGTATATGATTGAGTGTTAGACTGCATGTTTCAGAGTCTTAAATACTGTTGAATTTCTAAGAATGGAGAGTAACAATAGTGCTGTTGGGGATATAGTTCACTGAATGTTGTTGAATAGAATTGCTCGTTAGAGCTGTAACAACATTATCATTTATCACTCTATTAAAATACACATATAAATCATATATTGACTTTATCAGGGAAAGAGAGTCATGATGGCCTATTAGACACAGCCAGGAAGATCTTCTTCCACTGAGGCCAAACCAGCAAGAAGACCAGCACACTGAGCAGATCTTCAGAAGGAAGGCATTGAGAGTGAATAGAGGGAGGACACAGACCCTGGGCTGAAGCAGCCGGGGAAGCTGAGAACAATGCACGATGTTGCCAAGCACCAGGACTTGTTCCTGGCTCCAAGTGGCTCCTGGGGAAGGGGTGTGTCAAACAGGTATGGAGTGGCCCACTCTTTCCATGGACCTCTGGAATCCTAGCTTCAGGGGATCCCATGACCCCCATGGACATTTGAGCTGGCAGGGAGAGCTGCATGGATAATTGGCAGGCACAGGACTCCAGCTTTCATGGGGCCCAGAGGGTTTGGTGCTAGAAGGGCTGCAGTGGAGCAAGGCCAGGGACAACCATCTCCAAGCCTTGCCATGTTCCTCTGGGTGGCTTTGGCCTTTGTTGACTCTTTAATCTGGACAGAACAGAGCTATCTTGCTCATGGGACAAGACCATTCTGATCTAAGCACCCCTCCATCTGCCAGCCTCTACCATGCCCCTGCCTGGCCACACCTGCTTTAAGTGTAGCCTCAGATGCCCAGTCAGGGTGCTTCCCAGTGGCCACCACAACAGTTCATTCACTGGCTGTAAGACAACTTTTGCAGATGGGTTTCCACCAGCAAGCAGCCACCTGCAGCCTACCCCCACTACTTTGCCAATGTGCACTTGCCTGCAGCCTCCCCCCACTGCTTCGCTGGCACATGCATGTGGGGACACCACTGCTCCATCACAGCTGGCACAGGCACATGTATAGACTGTGCTGTCCCACTGCCACCTGCACATGTGAAACAGATGCCACTGTCCCATCATGCCACAAGTGTTGACGCTACAGCCACATCCTTGATGAAGCACTTTTGCAGGCATCCCCCATCAGAGTGTTGTTGGAACTCCTGGGCTCCTTCTAGCATAGCAGGTGCTTACCCTCTGGCGGACAGAAAACAAAACCCATGCACCTGGTACCAGCAACCCAGGGTTAGAACATGCAGATCAGGTGTGCTGAGCTGAGGCTTGGCCCCTCGAAATTATACCAAAACAAAGCCAGTCAATGAAACCCACAAACTAAGTAACCTTATAACAACTAAACTTAAACCCAATTAAACTTATACCACAGTCAAACTCTCAAGGGCATCAAAGAATATAAAAGCAAAAAGAAAAAAAAAAGCTCCATCTAAAGGACAGCAGTTTCAAAGATTAACAGAACATCATCCCATACAGATGAGAAAGAACAAATGCAAGAACTCTGACAATTCTAAAAGCTAGAGTGTCTTCATATCTCCAAATGACTGCACTAACTCTCCAGCAATGGTTCTTAACCAGATTGAAATGGCTAAAATGACAGATATAGAATTCAGAATCTGGATGGCAGTGGAGATCATTGAGGTTCAGAAGAAAGTCGAAATGCAACCCCAAAAATCTAAGGAATCAAGTAGAATGATTCAAGAGCCGAAAGACAAAATAGTCAATTTAAGAACCAGACTGATGTAATTGAGCTGAACAACTCACTACAAGAATTTCATAATACAATGGAAAGAGTTAACAGCAGATTTAGACCAAGCTGAGGAAAAAATCTCAGAGCTGAAAGACCAGGTTTTTTTTTTTTGTTTGTTTGTTTGTTTGTTTGTTTTTGAGATGGAGTCTCGCTCTGTCACCCAGGCTGGAGTGCAGTGGCGCGATCTTGGCTCACTGCAAGCTCCGCCTCCCGGGTTCACACCATTCTCCTGCCTCAGCCTCCTGAGTAGCTGAGACTACAGGCGCCCGCGACCATGCCCTGCTAATTTTTTGTATTTTTAGTAGAGACGGGGTTTCACTGTGGAAAGACCAGTTTTTATTCAATCAGGCAATTTTTTAAAAAGAATAAAAAAGTGAACAGAACCTTCAAAAACTATGAGATTATGTAAAGAGACCAAACTTATGACTCATTGGCATCTCTAGAAGAAAATCTAGGAAATACCCTTCTGGACATAGGCCTTGACAAAGATTTCATGTCAAAGCTCCAAAAGCAATTGCAACAAAACCAAAGATTGACAAGTGGGACCTAATTAAACTAAAGAGCTTCTGCACAGCAAAAGAAACTATCAACTAAGTGAATAGACAACCCACAGAATGGAAGAAAATATTTGCAAAGCACGCATTCAACAAAGGACTGCCATGCAGAATCCACTAGAAACTTAAGCAAATCATCAACAAAAAACAACCAACTTCATTAAAAATGGGTAAAGGATGTGAACAGATACTACTCAAAAGAAGACATGTATGTGGGCAACAAACATACTTTTTAAAGTTCAACATTGCCCGGGCACGGTGGCTCATGCCTGTAATCCCAGCACTTTGGGAGGGCGAGGAGGGCAGATCACGAGGTCAGGAGTTTGAGACCAGCCTGACCAACATGGTGAAACCTCGTCTCTACGAAAAATACAAAAATTAGCCAGGTGTGGTGGCACCCACCTGTAATTCCAGCTACTCAGGGAGGCTGAGGCAGAAGAATTACTTGAACCCGGGAGGCGGAGGTTGCAGTGAGCTGAGATCGAGCCACTGCGCTCCAGCCTGGGTGACAGAGCAAGAATCTATCTCAAAAAAAAAAAAAAGGTTCAACATCACTAATCATTAGATAAATGCAAGTCAAAACCACCATGAGATACCATCTCACACCAGTCACAATGGCTATTATTAAAAAGTCAAAAAATAACAGATGAGTGAGGTAGATGAGGTTGTAGAGGAAAGGGTATGGTTATACACTGCTGGTGGGAATGTAAATTAGTCCTGCCACTGTGAAAAGCATGGAATCAACCTAGATGCCTGTATTGGTCAGGGCTCTCTAGAGGGACAGAATTAATAGGATAGATGTACATATAAAGAGGAGTTTAATAGGGAGTATTAACTCACACGATCACAAGGTGAGGTTCCACAATAGGCCATCTGTAAGATGAGGAGCAAGAAAGCAGTTCGAGTTCCGAAGCTGAAGAACTTGTAGTCCAATGTTCGAGGGCAGTATACGTCCAGCACGGGAGAAAGATGTAGGCTCAGAGGCTAAGCCAGTCAAATCTCTCCACATTTTTCTGCTTGCTTTTATTCTGGCTGTGCTGGCAGCTGATTAGATGGTGCCCACCTAGATTGAGGGTGGGTCTGCCCCTCTCCCAGTCCCCTGACTCAAATGTTAATCTCCTCTGACAACACCCTCACACACACAAACACAACCAGGAACAATAATTTGCATCCTTCAATCCTATCAAGTTGACCCTCAATATTAATTAACCATCACAATGCCCATCAACTGGATAAAGAAAATGTGGTACATATACAACATGAAATAATACACAGCCATAAAAAGGATGAAATCATGTCCTTTGCAGCAACATGGATGCAGCTGGACCATTATCTTCGGTGAATTAACACAGAAACAGAAAACCAAATACTGCACGTTTTCAACTATACATGGGAGGTAACATTGAGTACACATGGATACAATGAACGTCAGGGTCTATTTGAGGGTGGAGGGTGGGAGGAGAGTAAAGATTAAAAGAATGACCTATTGGGTACTATGCTCACTACCTAGGCGATGAAATAATTTGTAGACCAAACTCCAGTGACATGTGATTTACCCATGTAACAAACCTGCACGTGTACCCCCTTGAACCTAAAATAAAAGTTTGAAGGGGAAAAAAAATTACTATTTGCATATAATGCATTACACATTTTCCTTTAAAGGTCATCTGTATTAGTCTCCAGGGGCTACTATAACAAAGTTCCAAAAATTTGGTGGCTTTAAACCAAGAAATGTATTGTCTGACACTTTTGGAGGCTAAATGTATGAAATCCAGGTGTTGGCAATACCATGCTCTCCCTGACAGCTCTAGGAGAAAATACTTTCTTGTATTTTCTTGCTTTTGGTGTTTCCCTACAATCCTTGATATTCTTTGGCTGGTAGATGCATCACTTCAGTCACATGGCAATTTTCTCCCTGTGTGTCTTCATATCATGTTCTCTCTGGGCATATTTGTCTCTGTGTCCAAATTTCTGCTTTTTATAAAGACAGGAGTCATATTGAATTAGTATCCAGCATAGTTACCTCATTCTAACCTGATTACTTCTGTAAATATCCTGTGTCTAAATAAGGTCATATTCTGAGGTACAGGTGGTTAGGACTTCACTATATCCTTTCTGAAGAATACAATTCAACCTATGACATATACATTCTGTAATTCTAGAAAGTAGTGAAGTGTTATTGTTTGTTTGTTCTTTCCCAAAAGTACTATTAGATGTTAGTGATTTCTTCAAAGAGTAGGTATGGAGTTAGAATACACTAGCCAAGAAAATTTTTGTAATATGAATAATATGTGAGGAAACAAAAGGTCAGACATTTGTGTGCATTTTTTTGTTAGGGTGGACATATCAAAGTGCAACAAACTGGGTGACTTAAAGTTTTTTATTTCTCACAATTCTGTAGGTGAGAAGTATGCAACCACATTGTCAGTAATGTTGGCTCCTTCTGACAGCTATAAGAAAAGGATCTGTGCCAGGCTTCTCTCTTTGGTTTATAGATAGTTTTATTCCTGTGTTTTCACATCCTCTTATCTTTATGTGTGTCTTACTCTGTGTTCATATTTTCTCTTTTTATAAGGGCAGCAGTCATATTGGATAAGCACCCAACCTAATGACCTAATGACCTCATTTTATCTTTCTTATCATTGTAGATACCTCATCTCAAAATAAGGTTACATTCTGAAGTAATGGGGTTTAGCATAACAAAGTATCTTTTGGGGGGCAGCACAATTCAGCACCTTCTCACATATGTATTAGATGATTTTCTGTCTCTAAATAAATCGATGTATTTGATTTGCATTGAAATCTGTAGTTTGAATCTAGGAAATGATGTCAATAACTTTACAGAAGTTGTTCTAGCAGTTAACCTAGCCCTTGCTCTCCAACTTACTTAATTCAAATGCAAAAAACGTGAAAGTGATGAAATTACAAGGATTACCTTGAATATGCTTGAATCATAATCTACAGTGATTTATTATTAGTGATTTTATTTAAGGCAGATGTTGTAGCTGATCATGGTATACTGAACATTTTACAATACTTTGCTACAGTACTTTTACAGACTAAATTTCATTCCCTCAGAACTCATAATTTGAATCCCTAAACGCTCGTGTGACTCTACTGGAGATAGGGCCTTTAACGAGATAAATAAGATTAAAAGATTTTATAAGGGTGAGTCCCTGATCCAATACAACTGGTGCCCTTACAGAAAGATAAGGAGACAACAAGCATGTATATGCACAGAGAAAAAGATAGAGAGAGAATATGGCCATCTTCAAGCCAAGGAGAAAGGCCTCAGGATAAGCCAAACCTGCTGACACCTTGATTTTCCAGGCTCCAGAACTCAGAGAACGAAATTTATTTTAAGTTAACCAGTCTGTGGAATTTTGCTATGGCAGCCCTAGAAGACTAATACAAGTACACTCATAAAACTACAGTGAAAATTGAAATTCATCCACATAAAGCTGTGCTCTTCTAATTTTATCACTGGGTTAAACTTAGATACTGTGGCTCTTCAGCCTTTTCACTAGTGCTATCTGCTAAGTGGATATCCAGTAAAATATCTTGCCTATACACGCTTACATTACTGTCAATGGAAGGGCCCACTCTTATTCCCAAGACATATTTGGAATTCTGAGTCTGAGTTCCTTGCTCCAAATGGGGCAAATTATAGGAAAGGATAATAAGGAAGTTGGAAAGAGATAAGTGGAGGTGAAAGACCAAAGAAACTGCCAGTGATGAAAGGCAGAAAAAAATGTTATTGGACTAAAAAAGAAAACATAATATGGTTTTACTTTTCAAAAAACAGAGGCATATGTAGGGGAGGATTTTAAGAAAGTAGCACCTAAGCAATGAGGAAAGATCAGGCTGGGATAAGGGCCAGAGAATATAGTGCCTAGAGTTAAGGGTAGTACAAGAATGGAGTAATAGTAGAACAAATGTGATTATAAATAAAATACATAGATTTAAAAAATAATTATATTTGGTAGAATATTTAGGAAAAGGGTGAATAAATATAAAGGTAAATCAAGTGAAGAAAATATGCAGGGATTTGCTGCAGGGAGTATATTTTAACCAATCAGAAAAAAAATGTAGTGTAATAAAGAAGGCACGTAAACATTTGTTATCCAATCAAAAGAGATTGTGATGAGTTAATGGAGTGTGATTATAATATTACATATGATCAGATAATATTATGTGAAGCAAGTTATTGGTGTTTCACTTTTGTATCCTATCATAATACATATGTTTGTTTAATCTCATGAGTTGGGAGTTGGAAAGTAGACTTCTAGCCTTGCTTGAGACTCAGTCAACTCCATGAATGACAGCAAAGGAATGTAGGCCAGAGTGATAAAGCATCATTATTTTTGGACAGCTTGGTTCAAGAGAATTGTCTGTAGTTATAGCTTTCCAGGAGTCGAAAATTGTGTTTAATGATTACTTGGATGGGAAATAGCTACATGCATTATGACTATGACCTTAGCAATGACAAAGCATTGCTGAAGCTGGAGTAAAAACATGCTTTCCTTGATGAATACAGTGTCCTTGTATATTCTTAGAGTGTAATAATTCTCATTATTTATAGTATAAATTATCCCAGGGCAAGACAGTATGAAAGGGTAATTTTATTACTATACACTCTCAGTTTTAATAAAATGCAAGTAACCTGTTTCCTCACAATAGTAGAATTAGTGACCTGTTTGTCATTACTTTGAAAGTAGCTTGGTAGATAGGATACATTGCATCCTCTGCATCCCTTCCTATCCCCACTAGGCCAGAAAACAAAGTCCAATAATACGGCAATTTGTGCTTATGCTTTATCTCTTCTACTAAGTGAACTACTCAAGCACTATATCAGTTTCTTCTCCTACTCTCTTTTAAGCAGTTTCTGGAACATAGTACTTTTTCATTTAATATGCATTAATCTTTCCTTTGTACACAATCAGGTGTTTTTCAACACTTTCTCTGACCTCTCATTTCATATAACTTGAGCACTTATTTATCTATCACCATGACTTGTAATATATTGAGTAGATTTTTTGAATAAACATAAGTCATTTTATGATTATTAATAAATTCCTGATCTAGAAACATTCTTGGAGAATGCATTTTTCTTGTTCTTCACTTCTTCAGCATTTTGTAATTTCATATTTTTGTCTATGAATCTCATACCAGTAAAACTTTTATCTAAGAGCTAAATAGACCAACGCAGCATTTTGTTTATGGGTGGGTGTGTTGTCTTAAGAACCACCCCTCCCCACAAGTTTTAGTGGATAATGAGAAATTGGGAGGCCTAAGCCAAAATTGCCATTTATTGAATTTGTCTTCCTAAATAAAGGAGATCTTTCAAGAAAAGTCACCTTGAAGTTTAGAAAAGTCAGTGCATCATGGCATAGAATTCTATAGTATTTTTAGCAGCCATTCTGTACACACATTTTTAGAATGCCTATATGTAAATATTATTTGCTGGGATGGGGTTAGAAAGAAGGGTGAAAAAGGTGGCAATGAAGTCATAGTCCTTATTTGTAAGAGCTTATGGACAAATTAAAAATGTATAGCAGAGTTGTAAATATTCATAGAAACTACACTTAAAATCAGGAGATGACTTTATGTCTTGCCTTTGCCGATTTCTAGTTGTTTGACCTTAAGTTACTTAAATTTGAAATTGTCTGTACTATGGCTGCTACAGTTTAGACATTTGACCCACCTAACCTCATGTTGAAATTTGATTCCCAATCTTGAAGGGGGAGCCTAATGGGAAGTGTTTGGGTCATGGGGGAACATTCCTCAGGCATGGCTTGGTGTCATCCTCATGGTAATGAGTGAGTTCTTGCCCTACGAGTTCCCATGAGAGTTCCCACAAGAGCTGATTGTTTAAAAAAAAATCTAGCACTCTCCCTTGCTTTTGCTCTCACCGTGTGATTTCTGCACAACAGCTTCCTTTTGCTTTTTGCCATGTGTGGAAACAACTTGAAGCCCTCACCTGAAGCCAAGGAGATGCCAGTGCCATGCTTCCTGTACAGGCTGAAGAACTATGAGCCAAATAAATTTCTTTCCTTTATAACTTTCCCAGGCCTAGGTATTTCCTTATAGCAACATAGTGGACTAAGAGAGAAAATTGGTACTGAGGAGCAAGGTGTTGCTATAAGAATACCTAAAAATGTGAAAGTGACTTTGGAACTGGGTAGTGTGCAGAGATTGGAAGATTTTGGAGGGCTCAGAAGAAGACAGGAAGATGAGGGAAAGTTTGGAACTTACTAGAGACTGGTTAAGTGGCTGTGACTAAAATGTGGATAAAAACATGAACAGTAAAATCCAGGTTGATGAAGTCTTAGAAGAAAATGAGGAACTACTGGGAACTGGAGCAAAGGTCACTCTTGCTAAGCTGCAGCAAAAAACTTGGCTCATTGTGTCCATGCCCTAGGGCTTTGTAGAAGGCCAAACTTAAGAGTGATTACCTGGGGTACCTGGTGAAATAAATGTCTAAATAGTAAAATGTTCAAAAATTGCTGTGACTTCTTTTACCAGCTTATAATAAGATAAGGGAGCAATGAAATAATGTAAAGTTGGAATTTAAAATTAAAAGAGTAGAGTATACAAATTTGGAAAATCTGTAGCCCTGCGATGTGGTAGAGACAAAAAATGTTTTTCAGGCAAGGTGGGAGCCAGGTGCTATTAGGCAGAACAATGGGAAAAAGGCCCTGAAGCCATGTTAGAAATCTTCGAGGAAACCCCTCCAATCACAAGGCCCAGAGGCCTATAAGGACAGAATGATTTTGAGGGCCAGGCCTAAACGCTGCTCACCTATGCCACCTCAGGATGTTTCTTGCCACATTGCCACTGCTCTAGCTCCAGCCAAGGCTCAAATGACCCTAGGAGCTGCTCAGGGTCTTGCTTCAGAGGGCACAAGCCATACGTTTTGGCAGCATCCATCTGGTGTAGAATTCAGTTGCATAGAATGCGAGATTAGTGAAGGTTTGGCATCTTCCACCTAGATATCAAAGAATGTAACAGAAAGCTTGAGTGCCCAGGCAGAGGCCTGCTGCAGGGGCAGAAGCCAACAGACTCTACTAAGGCTATTCTGAGCAGAAATGTGGGGTTGTAGCCCTCACGGCCAGTCCCTACCAAGGCAATGCCTAATGGAGCTGTGGGAGCAAGACTCCTGCCTTCCAGACCCCAAAATTATAGTCACTGGCACCATGGAATCTCAGACTAGAAGAGCCACAGGAATTAAACTCCAACTTGTAAGAGCAGTCACATGGGCTGCATCTAGCAAAGCCACGGAGGCATGGCTGTCCAAGGTCTTGAGGACCCACCTCTCACATGAGTGTGCCCAAAATATGGAACATGGAATCTAAAAGATGTGGGACATGGAGTCAAAGGAGATCATTTTGGCGATTTAAGATTTAAGACTTAAGACTTAAGACTGGACTTGCATGTGGCCTGTTACCTCTTTCTTTTGGCCAGTTTTCCCCTTTTGAAATGATAATGTTTACCAAATGCCTGCTCCACCACTGGCTCTAGGAAGTTAATAACTTGTAGGAAGTCAATAACTTGTTCTTGGTTTTACAGGTTCATAGCTGGAACGAACTTCCCTTTAAACCATGGTTGGTGCTGGAGCAAGTTAAAACTTTTGGTGACTGTTAGAAAGATATGATAGTATTTTGCAATGTGAGAAGGACATAAATTTTGGGGAGGCAGGGAGGAATTCTATAGTTGGTATATTTAACCTCCCAAACCTCTTTGCTTTTTCACAGTAGGTTCTTGTACATGCTCAAATTGCTGAAATTTGATCTTCAATTTTGGAGGTGGGGCCTCATATGAAGTATTTGGAGCAGGGGAAATCTCTCACGAATGGCTTGGTGCCATCCTTGCCTTAATGAGTGAGTTCTCACTGTTAGTTCCCATGACAAGTCCCTGCAAAAGCTGATTGTTAAAAAGAGTCTAGTACCCCCACCCTTGATTCTGCTTTTACCTGTGATCTCTGCACACCAGCTTCCCTTTGCCCTTCACCACCAGTGGAAGCAGCATCATGACCTCACCAAAATCCGAGTAGGTGCTAATGCCATGCTTCCTGCACAGCATGCAGATCCCTGAGCAAAATAAACTTGTTTTCATTATAAATTACCCAGCTCTGGATATTTCTTTATAGTAATACCAATGAATTAAGACAATGGTGATAATAAATCGTCTTGCATATCTCACACAGTAATGTTTTCACACTCTTTTTAAAAAAGAGATTGGCTAAATATCAAGTGCCAGGTAATTAACAGATGGGTTGCTTGCCAAAGCAAGTTCAGGTCCTCTAATTTTATTTTCACCCAATTTGTGAGGCAGGGCCAAGAAATTCTAATGACAAATCTTTGACCTCCTTAATGTTTATTGCAAAAATATTTATTGTATATATTTATTGACATAGTTAATATAAATACAAAGCACTCTGACTTTCTAACAAGAGAAAAAATAAACATGAAGATTGTTATGCTCACATGATTGGTTTGTACTTGGCTATAAGACAACAGTGATTTTGGTAAGTGACAAAACTGAGAAAGGCATCTGTCAAGGGGTCATGATAAGATTGGAATATTTATTAGCTTCCACAAAAGTCGCAATATTTTCCAGGACAACATTAGAATAATTTAGGTAGCCTCTGTAACATGTTTCACTTGAGATCAAGTGTTGCGGTTTTAATGATGTGGAATTCAAAATGGATTAAAATTAGGCTCAGTACCAATGAATTTGTTAAGCTCTTAATCTCTGTTAAGCTCTCTATCCTAGTTAAAATTTATCGGGGTTGAAAAAGTCTGCTCCTGGAGAGAAATGATTATTTCATAGTCATGACATGCTCCCAAGTGGAGCTAGTTATAAGCAAAATTGAAATTAAATACAACTTTGGTAGCCACTTTGGTGCCATAGCCAAGGCTAGTGTATATCTTATTTCTGAGGGTTTTGCCTTCTGTACTTTCAGGAATTCTGCCAGTATTATTTCGTTTTTACAGGAGGTGATTTTACATCTACAAATCACTGAGAGTCCAATAAAGAAATCATATGAAATAGTTTACGCCTTGATACAAAGCAACTCATTCTGATAGTTTATTAAACTCAAGTAGATTTATAAATAAGCTCAAGCTTATTTATTAAACTCAAGTAGGTTTATTTATTTTATTAATGATAAAGACATTAGTATTCAAAGATTGATATTCTCATGTGATTTTTTTTTGTACTCAACTATAAGAGAAGAGTAATTTTAATGGTGACCAAACTGAGAAAGGCATCTCTCAAGGGGTCATTTACAATATGGAAAATTTATAATATTCTCTGTAGAGGAGTGAAACACTGACTGTAATAGAAACTATTGATTTTTAACATCCCACAGAGAATGTGTCACAAACTTATTTCAGTATTTTGAAATATGTACTTTCCTAGTCAATTATGATGAAATGTTTCATAAGCTACTTGTCCTTTATAAATATATGAAAACTATCCTGTTTTATAAGAAAGCAAAATTACATTTGCCTGTACAAATTTTTGTGCTACAATTTTTGTTATATACATAGATTGGGTAATGATGATGTCAGGGCATCAGGGGTATCCATCATCTGAACAATGTACATTGTACCCATTAAGTAATTTGTCATCATCCACCATCCGCCCATCCCCTCACTCTTTCCAGTCTCCATTTTCTGTCATTTCACACTCCACATCCATTCATACACATTGTTTAGCTTCCACTTGTAAATGAGTGCATGCAATATCTGTCCTTCTGTGGCTGGCTTGTTTCACTTAAGATAATGGCCTCCAGTTCTGTCCATGTTGCTGCAAAAGACATGTTTCCATTTTTTTTACATCTGAGTAGTATTCCATTGCACCTTATTTTTCAGAGCTCTGTAGTAACAAAAAACAACTGCATTTTTTCTTAATATTTAAAATCTTCCCTATTAATAAATAAACATATATTAAGTCTTAGGAAAGGAAGACAGAATTTTTATATAGATAGGTGAGTATCTGCATGTACTTTGGGGTGTGGGTAATAAAAGTTATTTAATAGTGGAAGTTAATTTTAACTAATAAGAATTAATCAAAGAACTTACTTCATTCTCAGTACATATGTTGTCAAAAGGTAATCCTTATGTCATAGCTATATTTAGTTTGTTAGCCTTGGATCACTTTGTGATAGCATATATATCCTACTACTCTGTTTCTTTTCAGATTCCTAAACTATTTAGATACATTACCTTATTTGATCCGCATGACAAGCTGTGAGATCAGTTAATATAGCTTCCATTCCACAAGTTTGTTATGATGATCAAATGAGCTAATCTGCAGGAAGTCCCTAAGCACATTGCATGCAAGGTAAAGAAGCATTTATTACATTTTATCTTTTCCATTTTTTAGTCATAGTCGGTCTATTACTATTATCACTACTAATATTGCTGTTAATATTACTTGTCTCATTCTTATTACCAGTAAGTTCTTTCATCAATTTTTAACATGCAAGAAATTTCTGTGCCCTAAATGATTGGTCTAAAGTCTCATAGCATATTATTTAAATAAATAAATAAATAAATAAATAAATAAATATATACACACACACACATAGATATACTTTTAATTTACATATAAAATGTATTAATTTTTCCATTTAACTATTGATCAATAAATATTTAATAATCTTTCTTATACATTTTCACTCCACAGATTAATTTTAAGCTTTGAATTGTCTTTCAACGTTATTTATCAGCTGCATACTAACATATATAAACCAATATTCAATTTTATATAAGTGGATTTAATTACTAATCATTTTAAAAGGAAATATGCAATATCCACAGTTATGCAAAAGTTTTGCTCTTCCAAACATTTCATATAATATATAAATATATATTTTATATATAAACATAGAAAGCCATAGAATATTCAGAAAAGTATATATATATTTACCATTATATATATGAATATATGTATATTTACATGTATATAAAATATATATTTACTTTTATATAGGTAAATATATATATTTACTTTTATATAAATATATTTTATATTTGCCTATATATTATATAGGTAATAGGTAAATATATAATAATATATTTATATTATATATTTATATATGTGTATTTACCTATATATATTTATATGTATCCACACACACACTTTTTATATGTTTCAACATGTGCACATACAGAATATGAATTCATTCAACGTGGCTTTTCTGGTTAGAACTTAGAATGCCTCTAGGGTTTTCTACTCCAAATTCAAATCTTCATTGCTCCATTTCATATGCTTTTTATGTTGTATTGAACATTATATCACTATTTTATTCTTCAGCCCATTGTTTAAATAATTTTATTACAGTGATCATATGATCTGATGATTTTTCTCTAGCCAATTCTTTGCATTGTGTCCTTTTTGATGTTAATTAGGTGGGTATCACTTGGTTAATATCGAATATGGAAGTTAAGTGACAGTTGTTGTTATAGACTGAATGTTTGTGCACCCCCCAAAAAAAATTTTATGTTGATTTTCTCACTGCCAGTGTGGCTATGTTTGAAGATGGCACCTCTAAGGAAGTAATTAAGATTAAATGAGGCTTGGAGAATGGGGCTCTAATTCGATAGGATTAATATCATTATAAGAAGAGGTACCAGAGTGTTGGCATGTGCATGCTCTCTGTCTTTCTTCGTGTGTGTGTGTGTGTGTATGTGTGTGTTTCTCCATGTGTATGCACTGAGGAAAGGACATGTGAGGATATAGAAAGAAGGCAGTGTTTTCCACACCAGAATGCAGCCCTTATCAGAAGTCAAATAAACCAGAACCTTTATCTTAGACTTCTAGCCTCTAAAACACTGAAAAATAAATTTTCGTTTAAACTGCCAGGTCTATAGTACCTTGTTACAGCAGCCTAAGGTGACTAATATAATTGTCAAGGTAGTGTTACTGGGAATTTTGTATTGGGATGGATTTTTTAACTGAGGAGATCAACACAGCCAGAGCTCTGGATCAGCAATCTTGGTTCTCCTGATAGTAAGCAAGTAACTGCAAATTGACACCAATATGCAAGGTCAAAGCAAAGTTTATTGAAGCACAGTAATACACTCTCGGAGGGAGAGCTCTTTACGGAGATGAAGGTGCTTATGATGGGATTTGTGAGGAGGAGTTGAGGTTTGGGCTGTGTCTGATTAACAGGATGATATCAATAGATTTACTATTTATGGTTATATAAAAAAAAATTAAGCTGCATGTTTCCACCCATAATTCATAAAGAAAAGCCCACTTTGGGGAGGAAAAAACACATGCAAATTCTATTATAATGATAGTATAATGAGCTTGGGGTGAACATGGTTTGGTGTTTTTGGGCATGAGCCGCTTTAGTACCTTTCCACCTGTGCCCTATTTCCTTACTCTCAGTGATGTGCTGGCCAGAGACTTTACCACAAACTCTATCTGTTAGAGTAGAGTTAGGGCGGTCTTGGGAATGAAGTAGGGTGGGCCAGAGGCCAGTTAGTGACAGCCTTTTTGCTTTCCTCTTTACCGCCTCCCAGCTGCTAATGTCTATCTACCTACCTAACAGTATTATTGTATTTGGAAAAGAAAACAATGTTGATTTTTAGAAAATAATTGATGTTTTATTCATGGTCCCCCAGAAAGTGCATGGCGTGACTTTATTTGTGGGCTTAAAAAAGAATGAATTTTTATTTTCATTTTAAAAGATAATTTTCCTGGCTTCCCATAGTCAACCAACACAAATTTAAGAGAAAAACATTGCATATTCCATATCTATGCCTTTTCCACATTGATGACTCCCTGGTAGTGAAAAGAGTCTCTAATTTCAAACAAGCACCTATCAATTTATAATGAAATCAGCTGAAATGTATTTGTTCATATATTGGTGTGTGTGTGTATGTGTCTAAAACCTGTGCACAGTCTAATCTGGCATATTTTTTGAATAGTATTTTATAAATATTCATCTCACTGAAGAGTGCCGGACAGTGGGTGCAGGACAGTGGGTACAGTGCACCGTGCATGAGCCAAAGCAGGGTGAGGCATCGCCCCACCTGGGAAGCACAGGGGGTCAAGGAATTCCCTTTCCTAGTCAAAGAAAGGGGTGACAGACAGCACCTGGAAAATCGGGTCACTCCCACCCTAATACTGTGCTTTTCCAATGGGCTTAACAAACGGCACACCAGGAAATTATATCCTGCACCTGGCTCGGAGGGTCCTGCGCCCACAGAGCCTCACTCATTGCTAGCACAGCAGTCTGAGATCACACTGCAAGGCGGCAATGAGGCTGGGGGAGGGGTGACCGTCATTGCTAAGGCTTAAGTAGGTAAACAAAGCAGCTGGGAAGCTCGAACTGGGAGCCCACCACAGCTCAAGGAGGCCTGCCTACCTCTGCAGTCTCCATCTCTGGGGGCAGGGCACAGACAAACAAAGGAGCAATAATCTCTGCAGACTTAAATGTCCCTGTCAGACAGCTTTGAAGAGAGTAGTGGTTCTCCCAGCATGCAGCTTGAGATCTGCGAACAGGCAGACTCCCTCTTCAAGTGGGTCCCTGACCCTGAGTAGCCTAACTGGGAATCACCCCCCAGTAGGGGTGGACTGACACCTCACACGGCCAAGTACTCCTCTGAGACAAAACTTCCAGAGGAACGATCAGGCAGCAGCATTTGCAGTTCACCAATATCCGCTGTTCTGCAGCCACCACGGCTGATACCCAGGCAAGCATGGTCTGGATTGGACCTCCAGTAAACTCCAAAAGAGTTTACTGCAGCTGAGGGTCCTGACTGTTAGAAGGAAAACTAACAAACAGAAAGGACATCCACACCAAAAACCCATCTGTACGTCACCATGATCAAAGACCAAAGGTAGATAAAACCACAAAGATGGGGAAAAAACAGAACAGAAAAACTGGAAACTCTAAAAATCAGAGCACGTCTCCTCCTCCAAAGGAACGCAGCTCCTCACCAGCAATGGAACAAAGCTGGACAGAGAATGACTTCGACTAGTTGAGAGAAGAAGGTTTCAGAAGATCAAACTATTCTGAGCTAAAGAAGGAAATTCGAACCTATGGCAAAGAAGATAAAAACTTAAAAAAAATTAGACAAATGGATAACTAGAATAACCAATGCAGAGAAGTCCTTAAAGGACCTGATGGAGCTGAAAACCAAGACATGAGAACTACAAGATGAATGCACAAGCCTCAGTAACTGATGCGATCAACTGGAGGAAAGGGTATCAGCGATGGAAGATTAAATGAATGAAATGAAGTGTGAAGAGAAGTTTAGAGAAAAAATAATAAAAAGAAACGAACAAAGCCTCCAAGAAATATGGGACTATGTGAAAAGTCCAAATCTAAGTCTCACTGGTGTACCTGAAAGTGACGGGGATAATGGAACCAAGTCGGAAAACACTCTGCAGGATATTATCCAGGAGAACTTCCCCAATCTAGCAAGGCAGGCCAACATTCAAATTCAGGAAATAAAGAGAATGCCACAAAGATACTCCTCGAGAAGAGCAACTCCAAGACACATAATTGTCAGATTCACCAAAGTTGAAATGAAGGAAAAAATGTTACAGACAGCCAGAGAGAAAGGTCGGGTTACCCACAAAGAGAAGCCTATCAGACTAACAGCTGATCTCTTGGCAGAAACTCTACAAGCAAGAAGAGAGTGGGGGCCAATATTCAACATTTTTAAAGAAAAGAATTTTCCACCCAGAATTTCATATCCAGCCAAACTAAGCTTCATAAGTGAAGGCAAAATAAAATACTTTACAGACAAGCAAATGCTGAGAGATTTTGTCACCACCACTCCTGCCCTAAAAGAGCTCCTGAAGGAAGCACTAAACATGGAAAGGAACAACCGATACCAGCCACTGCAAAAACATGCCAAATTGTAAAGACCATCAAGGCTAGGAAGAAACTGCATCAACTAACAAGAAAAATAATCAGCCAACATCATAATGACAGGATCAAAGTCACACATAACAATACTAACCTTAAATGTAAATGGGCTAAATGCTCCAACTAAAAGACACAGACTGGCAAATTGGATAAAGAGTCAAGACCCATCAGTATGCTGTATTCAGGAAACCCATCTCACATGCAGAGACACACATAGGCTCAAAATAAAGGGATGGAGGAAGATCTACCAAGCAAATGGAAAACAAAAAAAAGGCAGGGATTGCAATCCTAGTCTCTGATAAAACAGACTTTAAACCAACAAAGATCAAAAGAGACAAAGAAGGCTATTACATAATGGTAAAGGGGTCAATTCAACAAGAAGAGGTAACTATCCTAAATATCTATGCACCCAATACAGGAGCACCCAGATTCATAAAGCAAGTCCTTAGAGACCTATAAAGAGACTTAGACTCCCACACAATAATAATGGGAGACTTTAACACCCCACTGTCAACATTAAACAGATCAACGAGACAGAAAGTTAACAAGGATATCCAGGAATTGAACTCAGCTCTGCAACAAGCGGACCTAATAGACATCTACAGAACTCTCCACCCCAAATCAACAGAGTATACATTCTTCTCAGCACCACACTGCACTTATTCCAAAATTGACCAAATAGTTGGAAGTAAAGCACTCCTCAGCAAATGTAAAAGAATAGAAATTATAACAAACTGTCTCTCAGACCACAGTGAAATCAAACTAGAACGCAGGATTAAGAAACTCACTCAAAACTGCTCAACTACATGGAAACTGAACAACCTGCTCCTGAATGACTACTGGGTACATAACGAAATGAAGGCAGAAATAAAGATGTTCTTTGAAACCAATGGGAACAAAGACACAACATACCAGAATCTCTGGGATACATTCAAAGCAGTGTGCAGAGGGAAATTTATACCACTAAATGCCCACCAGAGAAAGCATGAAAGATCTAAAATTGACACCCTAACATCACAATTAAAAGAACTAGAGAAGCAAGAGCAAACACATTCAAAAGCTAGCAGAAGGCATGAAATAACTAAGACAGAGCAGAACTGAAGGAGATAGAGACACAAAAAACCCTTCAAAAAATCAATGAATCCAGGAGCTGGTTTTTTGAAAAGATCAACAAAATTGATAGACTGCTAGCAAGACTGATAAAGAAGAAAAGAGAGAAGAATAAAATAGACACAATAAAAAATGATAAAGGGGATATCACCACCGATCCCACAGAAATACAAACTACCATCAGAGAATACTATAAACACCTCTATGCAAATAAACTAGAAAATCTAGAAGAAATGGATAAATTCCTTTGCACATACACCCTCCCAAGACTAAACCAGGAAGAAGTTGAATCTCTGAATAGATCAGTAGCAGGCTCTGAAATTGAGGCAATAATCAATGGCTTACCAACCAAAAAAATTCCAGGACCAGATGGATTCACAGCCGAATTCTACCAGAGGTAAAAGGAGGAGCTGGTACCATTCCTTCTGAAACTATTCCAATCAATAGAAAAAGAGAGAATCTGCCCTAATTCATTTTATGAGGCCAGCATCATCCTGATACCAAAGCCTGGCAGAGACACAACCAAAAAAGAGAATTTTAAACCAATATCCTTGATGAACATCGATGCAAAAATCCTCAATAAAATACTGGCAAACCGAATCCAGTAGCACATCAAAAAGCTTATCCACCATGATCAAGTGGGCTTCATCCCTGGGATGCAAGGCTGGTTCAACATACACAAATCAATAAATATAATCCAGCATATAAACAGAACCAATGACAAAAACCATATGATTATCTCAATAGATGCAGAAAAGGCCTTTGACAAAATTTAACAACACTTCATGCTAAGAACTCTCAATAAATTAGGTACTGATGGGACGTATCTCAAAATAATAAGAGCTATCTATGACAAACCCACAGCCAATATCATACTGAATGGGCAAAAACTGGAAGCATTCCCTTTGAAAACTGGCACAAGACAGGGATGCCCCCTCTCACCACTCCTATTTAACGTAGTGTTGGAAGTTCTGGCCAGGGCAATCAGGCAGGAGAAGGAAATAAAGGGTATTCAATTAAGAAAAGAGGGAGTCAAATTGTCCCTGTTTGCAGATGACATGATTGTATATCTAGAAAACCCCATCGTCTCAGCCCCAAATCTCCTTACACTGATAGGCAAGTTCAGCAAAGTCTCAGGATACAAAATCAATGTACAAAAATCACAAGCATTCTTATACACCCATAACAGACAAATAGAGAGCCAAATCATGAGTGAACTCCCATTCACAATTGCTTCAAAGAGAATAAAATACCTAGGAATCCAACTTACAGGGGATGTGAAGGACCTCTTCTAGGAGAACTACAAACCACTGCTCAATGAAATAAAAGAGGATACAAACAAATGGAAGAACATTCTGTGCTCATGGGTAGGAAGAATCAATATCTTGAAAATGGCCATACTGCCCAAGGTAATTTATAGATTCAGTGCCATCCCCATCAAGCTATCAATGACTTTCTTCACAGAATTGGAAAAAACTACTTTAAAGTTCATATGGAACCAAAAAAGAGCCCGCATCACCAAGTCAATCCTAAGCCAAAAGAACAAAGCTGGAGGCATCACGCTACCTGACTTCAAACTATACTACAAGGCTACAGTAACCAAAACAGCATGGTACTGGTACCAAAACAGAGATATAGACCAATGGTACAGAACAGAGCCCTCAGAAATAATGCCGTATATCTACAACTATCTGATCTTTGACAAACCTGAGAAAAACAAGCAATGGGGAAAGGATTCCCTATTGAATAAATGGTGCTGGGAAACCTGGCTAGCCATATGTAGAAAGCTGAAACTGGATCCCTTCCTTACACCTTATACAAAAATTAATTCAAGACGGATTAAAGACTTAAATGTTAGTCCTAAAACCATAAAAACCCTAGAAGAAAACCTAGGCAATAACATTCATGACATAGGCATGGGCAATGACTTCATTTCTAAAACACCAAAAGCAATGGCAACAAAAGACAAAATTGACAAATGGGATCTAATTAAACTAAAGAGCTTCTGCACAGCAAAAGAAACTACCATCAGAATGAACAGGCAACCTACAGAATAGAATGAACAGGCAACCTACAGAATGGAATGAACAGGCAACCTACAGAATGGGAGAAAATGTTTGCAATCTACTCATCTGACAAAGGGCTCATATCCAGAATCTACAATGAACTCAAACACATTTACAAGAAAAAAACAAAGAACCCCATCAACAAGTGGGCAAAGGATATGAAAAGCCACTTCTCAGAAGAAGACATTTATGGAGCCAAAAGACACATGAGAAACTGCTCATTATCACTGGCCATCAGAGAAAAGCAAATCAAAACCACAATGAGATACCATCTCACACCAGTTAGAATGGCAATCATTAAAAAGTCAGGAAACAACAGGTGCTGGAGAGGATGTGGAGAAATAGGAACACTTTTACACTGTTGGTGGGACTGTAAACTAGTTCAACCATTGTGGAAGTCAGTGTGGCAATTCCTCAGGGATCTAGAACCAGAAATAACATTTGACCCAGCCATCCCATTACTGGGTATATACCCAAAGGATCATAAATCATGCTGCTATAAAGACACATGCACACATATGTTTATTGTGGCACTATTCACAATAGCAACACTTGGAACCAAACCTAATATCCAACAACGATAGATTGGATTAAGAAAATGTGGCACATATGCACCATGGAATACTATGCAGCCGTAAAAAATGATGAGTTCACGTCCTTTGTAGGGACATGGATGAAGCTGGAAACCATCATTCTCAGCAAACTATCACAAGGACAAAAAACCAAACACTGCATGTTCTCGCTCATAGGTGGGAATTGAACAATGAGAACACATGGACACAGGAAGGGGAACATCACACACCGGGGCCTGTTGTGGGGTGGGGGGAATGGGGAGGGATAGCATTAGGAGATATACCTAATGTTAAATGACAAGTTAATGGGTGCAGCACACCAACATGGCACATGTATACATATGTAACTAACCTGCACGTTGTGCACATGTACCCTAAAACTTAAAGTATAATAAAAAAGAAAAAGAAAAAAAATAAAAATAAAGAAAATTAATCCTTTTTTACAAACACTTGTAGCAGTGAATATCTCCCAGTGGTCTTTTTTTATCCTACATATAAGCAAGCATTGTTCCTCAGGTGGGCATATTCTTCCTCTTACTTTAGGAAATGCCCTACTCTGTCTATGGTGTCTACATAGTAGCATTCTTTTTTTCTTTTTTTTTTTTTGATACAGGGTCTTGCTCTGTTACCCAGGCTGGAGTGTAGAAGTGTGATCTGGGCTCACCGCAACCTCCATCTCCTGGGTTCAAGCAATTATCATGCCTTAGCCTCCCGAGTAGCTAGGATTGCAAGCATGTATCACCACACCCAGCTACTTTTTTCTATATTTTCTTTTTTCAGTAGAAGCAAGGTTTCACTGTGTTGACAAGACTGGTCTCAAACTCCTGGCCTCAAGTGATCTGCCTGCCTGGGCCTCCCAAAGTGTTGGGATTACAGGCATCAGCCGCCATCCCTGGCCCAGCCTGAAGTAGCTATTTTTTTCACTACTTCACTTTCTTAATAAACTTGCTTTCACTTTGCACTGTTGACTTGCCCTGAATTCTTTCTTGTGCAAGATTCAAGAACCTTCTCTTGGGGACTGGATCAGGACCCATTTCTGGTAACACAATCATTACTAACCATAACAAGTAAACGTGAATAATTATTATTATCAAACTGGTAATCACAACTAGTTACTGGCACACTGAATAATCATGACTAATTATTAGGCTAGTCTAATAAACATAACTAGTTATCGCAGTTGGTCACCAAAACTATTTGGTAAGTAGCAATAGCAGGTAACCAAAACTAATTAGCAGTCACAGACTAATAAGCACAACTAGTTAGGCATCACACATAAATAGCCATGGCTAATTATCAGTCATAAACTAGTGACTATAGCTAGATAGTAATCACAAATTATAAAAAGAAGTTTTTTGTTGCCAAACCTTTATCTATAACTACTTAGTAGTCGACTGGCAATCATGACTGGTTATTAGTTACTAACAGTTAATCATGACTACTTAGTAGCCAAATTGGTGACTACAAATAGTAGTCAAAGCCAGTAATCATTACTTGTTAGTAGTCACAGACGGCTACCCATAATTGGTTAATAAACACATTCGGTAACACAAGCAGTTATTAGTTGAGATTGGTAACTACGGTTGGGTTAATAATCCCAAGTCATATTAATAACTAGTTAGCACTCATAAAAAGTAACCAAAACTAGTTAATAGTCACAACAAGTTAATATAGCTACTTGGTAGCTATTATGAATCTTTATATCCAAAGCCATGCTAACCATAACTAGTGATGTAACATGTTGGTAGTTATTACTAACCACAATTTACCATAACTAACCATAATTAACCATAGCTATAACTACCCATAATCATAAACTCATCTTAACCATAACCATGACTAATGATAACTAACCATAACCATAGCTATAACCATAATCATAACTATTTAAAGCACAGAAACTGATGATATAGAAACTGACTAACAAACAAGTTTCTTAATTCTCCACATGTATTTAACATATGGTCTTGGGATATAGGAATGCAACTATGAGGGGAAAAAGAAAATATCTGGTGCTTTGGGAAGGGTGGAATATGAGTAGTGTTGTAAGCTTTTGTATTAGTTTCTTATTAGCACTGTAATAAATTATTGTAAACTTAGTGGCTTAAAATAATTTATTCTTTTGTAGTTCTAGACGTATAAAGAATAAATAAAAAATTTATTCTTTTGTAGTTCTAGACGTCAGAAATCTCAAAATCAAGTTGTTGGTAGGACTTTATTTCTTGCAGAGGGTCTAGGAAAGAGTCTGCCCCCTTGTCTTTTCCAGCTCTTTAAGGTTGCTTGCATTTCTTGGCTCATGACAACCTCCTCACATTGCTTCATCGTCTTGTTTCCATTTTCATATCTCCCACTGCAAACTCTGATTCTCCCTTATAAGGTCCCATGTGTACATTTACCTTAGGTAGATAATCCAGAACATTCTCCTCATCTCAAAATCCTTAAGCACATCTGCAAAGTTGATTTCATGATGTAAAGTAACATATTTATAGGTTTCAAGGATTAGGATGTTAAAGGAAAATACCTTGGGACCCCAAATCACTAAGCTAAAGGGAAAAGTCAAGCTGGGAACGGCTAAGGCACACCTGCCTCCAATTCTATTCAAAGTTACCCCTCTGCTCATTGACATAAATGTATATCTGATTGTCTCCTTTGAAAAGGCTAATCAGAAACTCAAAAGAATGCAACCATTTGTCTCTTATCTACCTATGACCTGGAAGGCCCCTCCCCATTTACAGTCGTCCCACCTTTCCAGACTGAAACAATGTTCATCTTACATATGTCAGTTAATGTCTTATGTTTCCCTAAAAGGTATAAAACCAAACTGTATTCTGACCACCTTGAGCACATGCCATCAGGACCTCCTGAGGCTGTGTCATGGGTACGCATCCTGAACCTTGACAAAATTAACTTTGTAACTTAACCGAGAACTGTCTCAGATTTTGGGGGTTCACATTTTGGTAACCATGAAGGGATTTTGAGTGCAGTTACCCCTGACCTTTTACAAATCTCCTATCGGTGCTTGGTACCAGCCTGAGCTAACTTTATCGCTCAATCCAATAGGAAAATTTGCCGAGGTAGGGGACCATTCTCTTCAGAGAACTCATCTCCCAAAATTTGATCTCAATCTAAAGTTTATTTAGCTGTACAACTCCTTTTTCTGATGTTTTACTTGCTTTCAACACAAGGAAGGCAAGTTTTCTCTGCTTCCATGTCAATGGAAGGCAAGTAACTCCTTTATGGAGTTTGAGCTCACTTCCAACAGGGAAGATGAGAGGTTTTTTTTCCTGTTTCTAGGATGGTAGAGAGTAGTCTTCAGCCTGAGACCCATCCCTATGTAAGTAACTAATTTGGGTTTGTCTTGGCTAAAGTTAAAATTAACAATCAGCTGGTCTTAATTTCTCCTTACCATGAAAGTGCTCAGTAATCATTTAAGTTGTGCCATCATTTGTTTTGCTTAACTGTTTTTATGTTGTTTGTTTCTGTTTTAGTGGTTGTTTCAGTCTTTTTCCCATTGGGTTTGACCAACTCTATCCAACTTTATCAAATCCAAAGAAAGTTTCAAATTATGAGGAAAGAGGCCTCTAAAGTGGCTAAATTTACCCCCCCCCACACACACATACACACAAAAGTGGTATGGTGGTGGGAGAAAAATGGCCAGAAAAAAAAAAAAGGAAAGAAAAGATTTTTTATTTTGACTACTTAAGAGGCTTTATTTATAAAACAAGGCCACCTTTCTTGGCAGCCTAGTCAGGCCTAGCTAAAAGAACAATAGCTGTACTTCTTAAATATCAGCAATTTCTCCTAGCTGTAATACAGTAATGAGATTTAAAAAGATTTTTTTAAAGGAGCTCAATGGTTAAAAGTTAGCTTAATTAAAAGCTTACATCCAAGATGTGTGTGTGTGTGTGTGTGTGTGTGTGTGTGTGTGTGTGTATGTTTGTGTGTGTTTGTATTTAAAAGGGCTTCCTATTTTTCTTTTGTTTTTTCCTTAGGACCTTGTCTTTTTTTGAGCAAATGTTTTTTTCTTCTTGGTTGACTGAATTCTGTTTTCTTCATTTACTTCTGCTGCCTCTCCTTTCTCTTGTACCTTCTGGCTGCATGAGGGATTTAAAATAGTTTGTAATAGCCTGGGCTTTCCTTAAAGAATACGGAGAAAGCACCAGACTCTCTCTGGGCGAGAAACCTCAGTTTTTCTTTAAGGAACCCCAAGAATGTAAACAGACAAGTTCATCTCAGCCCTTAAATTGCTTGATTTTGTATTGTGTTACCTAATTTTTTAACTAAAATAGTTATTGCAACAGAGGCTACTCTTAGGTTTTGAAAAAAGAATGTAGTTTAGAAACTTAGAAATGTCTTCATTAAAAAAAAAATCTAAGTGCACTGTAAAAGGATCAGTTTTATTATTCTGGCAGTTGTCAGCCCACACTGACTCCTGGGTCTCCAAAATGGGAGAATTATGAGGTTCTGCCCAGAGTTCAGAGATCCAGTTAAAAGGTAGGTAGTCTCTATGTAAATAAAATTGGTCTCCTCATACAATCCTATGATACTACTGTCTATCCTATGATAGATTTCTATAATTTTATGTTTGATTTGGCATCCATCTTTAGTCTCCTTCTAGCACCATCAGACATTTTCTTCCTGTATCTTGAGATGCAAATTTTGCTATGCGATTTTTCGTCTCAGAGTTGTTTCATTCAATATTCAAATTTAAAGCTATTTGGCTGACAACTGCCAGGGTAATAAAACTGAGTTTCAGTAGTTTGCAGTTCTAAAATGGAATAAAAAAGGTCTTAAAAATTAAAAAAATGGGTTGGGCATGGTGGCTCACACCTGTAATCACAGCACTTTGGGAGGCTGAGGTGGGCAGATCACGAAGTCAGGAGATCGAGACTATCCTGGCCAACATGGTCAAACCCTGTCTCTATTAAAAATACAAAAATTAGCTGGACATGGTGGTGCGTGCCTGTAATCCCAGCTACTCAGGAGGCTGAGGCTGGAGAATAGCTTGAACCCAGGAGGCAGAGATTGCAGTGAGCCGAGATCGTGCCACTGCATTCCAGCCTGGCGACAAAGCTAGAATCCATCTCAAAAAAAAAAATCTATAAAATGTATTTCTATTAGTATGTCTAATATAACTATGTATTTTTGTGTTGTGTACAAAATGTTTCACTACTAAAAATATAAAAAAGAGCTGTAATTAGCTTTAAAAAAGGATTTAAATCAAATACTTTATTAAGAAAAAAGACTAGCCAAATGTTTTTTCAAGTTTATGTAACTTAAGTAAAATTTTTAGTAAATAAGCTAGCTTTAAAATTATTGATAAAGTAATATTAGAAACGTCTTGAGAATCGCCAGCATACATTTTGTTTGCATTTCTGAATCAAGGAATTTCATACTTATCTCTGCCAAATACTATAAGGCGTCAAAATTTGGCATAGAATTTACAAAACCATAAACCCAGCCCAAAACAGAATGATCTTTGCTCGTGTAATTTTTAATAAATAAGACATTAATATTGGTTTAATGAAAATAGCTACATCTTTCATTTAGTAAGGTTACCATAACTTCTAAACTTGTGGCTTTAAACAGTCTACTCCACAGGTAGTAAGGAGATTGTTTGGTGAAAGGACTATTGTCATCTTTGTTTCAAAGCTAAACTATAAGTTCCTACCAAAGTTAGTTCAGCCTATGCCCAGAAATGAACAAGGACAGCTTAGAGGTTAGAAGCAAGATGGAATCAGTTAGATCAGATTTTTTTTTCACTGTCTCATTTATAATTTTGCAGTGGTGTGTTCCATAGCTTTATTACTATGATTATTTTTGAGATGGAGTTTCACTCTTGTCACCCAGGCTGGAGTGCAGTAGCATGATCTCGGCTCACTACAACCTCCATTTCTCAGATTCAAGCGGTTCTTCTGCTTCAGCCTCCTAAGTAGCTGGAACTACAGGCATGTGCCATCATGCCTGTCTAGTTTTTTATATTTCTAGTAGAGATGGGATTTCACCATATTGACCAGGCTGGTCTTGAAGTCCTGACCTCAGGTGATCCACCTGCCTAAGCCTCCCAAATTGTTGGGATTACAGGCATAAGCCACCATACCCGGCCATGTGTTTCATAACTTTAAATGATGACTATCACAGTCTTCATAAATAATCTAGGTAAATGATTAAAATAAAATAAGTAAATGTAATGAGATAAATACTTGTGGACAAACTTGTCATAATTTAGAATATAAAGTTATATTAAATTAAATAACAGATATTTCATTATTTGGGTATTTTCCAATAAAAATCTGTTGTAGAAAAACATTCTGAAAAAAGGTGTGTCCTTTTTAAAAGGGTGAACAACTTTGACTAATTCAAAGCTTATTTAAAGGTTACATATAAAACAAGGTAAAAGGAACTAGGAAATAAGAGAGATGTACATAAAGTTATAAAAATAAAAGGTTACTTTGGGAAGAAAACTTACAGAGATATAATTTTATATGAGAAAGAATCTTGTGTAGTGAATTTAGTCCTAGAGTAAAATGTCTGGTCGTTTAAGAAAAAGGGATGTTCAAGACAAACCAGAAAGTCCAACCATGTCATGAACGTTCTGTTTAAGTCAAAATATGATTATTTATTTCAAAAACTCAAAAACTATTATATAATCAAGTTGTCATATTATTATTAAGTTTTGGTTTGCTTAGGAAAAAAACTGATTCAACTTTTTTTTAACGAATGTTATTACATCTGCGTAACTCTCTGTTTTAAATCCTTGTGACATTGAGTTATAAGGCTTTGACTCCTGAGTCTAAAAGAACACTAAGTCCTGGTAAATTTTAAACACTAACAGCAACTAAAGCCCTATCTTCATGCCCGGTAGAAGATGCCAATAAAAATAAACTGCATCCCTGAAACACAGGGCTAGAAATTAAAGCTATTCAACTTCCTCAAGGCCCAGGAAATATCTCAGAAGAGGTGGGTGTGTGAGATTGTAAGGGCTGATTTTATCAGAAAAAAATAAGTTCAATTCCTCTATAAATTAATAATTAATGTCAAAAACACACTGATGGAAGACCATCATATGGGCCCCTGTGTCAGATTAACAAGGTTTTATTGAAGTATTAACCAACTCCTTAATAAAGGTTATAAAGGTTATAAAAAGATTATGGAAGTTATAGCTTATGGTTAAGATTAAGAGTTTATAGGTTGTTTATAAAATTTTGGAAAATAAATTCAATTGACTTTATGCTGATATTATTATGGCTTATTGTTTGTAAAATGAAGTTTCCTCTTAAAGAGTGAAGGTTTTTGCTGTTTTTGAAATCCTTGAGTTATTAACTTTGGTCAAATTAATGACTTATTTTACAATAACCTGTGATATTAAGTGTTTTAAGCCTTGGATATTTGACAAAATTTCCAAAATCAAATTATAAATTATGTCTTTTTCTGACCTAATTAATCCTTTAAAATATTAAGTTCCCTAAAGTTCAAAAATGACATAATTTGGCTTATTTGGTATAAAAATTATACAGGAAGCATTGTCAAATATGAAATGGTGTTTGCTTTCCTTTGGACTGTATTTGTATAAATATGTTATTGATATATGTTCCCAAATCATGGGAAGATCCTGTAATTCTAATATAACATAGTGTATATTATCAGTAATAATTATAATTGTTATGTTAAATTATTATGTGCCACAGAGGTAAAAATTTCCTTGTCAATTCTGTCTTTGACTATGCCTACCCTAAAACTTTTGTCATCCACAGACAGTTGTTTTCTTGTTTTGGTCCTCTTTAGAGGGTGGTTTCATAATCAGCTAGAAAACTCTAACAGATGCTCTTGAATGCAGGTTTCTGATAGTTTTGGAAATTGTAATATCAGAAAAGAGAAAAAACTTTTGGGACTCACCAACAGCTGAAATGTTCTTGAATATCAAGCAGAAAAGCAATTAACTGCATGAAGTGAACTAATAAAAGACTGAAGTAATCTTTTTAACTTTTTGCTTAAAACATTGCTGATCCTTTGTTTTGTTTTTTCATGGTCAAGGAAACTTTTTTTGAAAAGTATTTCTTGGCGCAGAAAGGCAGAAAAGTATATATGTGTATATATATTATATATATATTTATACATATATACCTTTTATATATAAACAGTATATATATACTTTTATATATATATATACACCATATATATGCCTTTTATTTTATATATATATATATAGTTTAAATATTTTTAGTAGCTAACAATGAGGGGTGGACAGTAGATAAGAACAAAGAGTTTATTCCATGTAAACAGTACCTCTCTCTTCATGGAACCACCTTGAATTGTGTTGTCTGTGTAGCTTCCCTGGGATCAGTTAAGCAAAAATAGAAATGGTTAAAGACATGCTAATCATGCTGATTAGAAGAAATAGATTATTAAAGGGAATGTGGTCTGCTGCTCAACCAAGTCAGAGTGAGTTATTTCTCACTCAATTCTGACTGGTTTAGGAGATATCTTAATAACTGCTGGATAAGTTTCTCTGAAAATGTGAAAAATCATATATCTGGTGACTTTTTTCCACTCACATTATCTTGACTCTCCCTCTATAACTTTTTTTTTTCATGAACATTATCTCACCCACAGATGACAGGTAGGCTTGGTATCTAGGATGAAATCATCTTATACCTACTGAGGTAAGTTTGTAGCAATGTTATTTTAGAGCTAGGTGGCTACATTTTATGACATTATGTCCTGACTCCTGGAATGGGGTTGGGAACAACATGAAATTTAGAAGCTACTGTTAGGTGTACCTAGGAAATGGCCTGGTTGTTCCAATTGTGCCCTTGGATTAAGAGCATCATATCAAATAAAGCAATCACAGAGTTGTAAACATAAGCCCTCTCATAGGTTCAGAGCAGGAACTCTCAATTGCTTGTTACTAGATAGGACATAGGGAGGATGAGTGATAGATAGCTAACGACAGAACTATGGCCTAGAGGAAAGAAACCATATTTGAAAATACAAGTGGGGAATGATGCTTAGTAATCCTGTGTGTTGTGATGGCCTTTGTGGGGATGGACTGATGAGGCGAGAAGAAAGCAGGGTCTTCCTGAACCTACTCGTGAAGCCGTAGGCATTCTTGACATTTCCACCCTTGTGACAGCTGGTGGAAGTTAAAGAAATCACAGATTAAAAACAAACAACAACAACAAAACAGAAGTGACTTGTGAATACCTGGCAACATTTCTTTTTGTTGCATAAGTGCAAAAATAGAACTGTGAATAATGAATAGAAATGAAAAGTAATTACATATCCAGCACAAGGAACAATAAGTTACTCCAAAAATGGAAATGACTACTTTACACAGTTGTGAGCTAACTGCCATTGGAAGTGTTTAAGCAAAGACTACCAATAATTATCAGTGATGCTATACATTTGTTGAGTGGTTGGATGGATGGCTTATTAGTTTGTTCTCATACTGCTGTAAAGAAATACCCGAGACTGGGTAATTTATGAGAGGTTTAATTGGCTCATGGTTCTGCAGGCTGTACAGAAAGCATGATGCTGGCATCTGCTCAGCTTCTGAGGAGGCCTTAGGAAACTTGGAATCATCCTGGAACGTGAAGGGGAAGCAGGTTTGTCTTACATGGCTGGAGCTGAAGGAAGAGTGGGGAGGTGCCATATACTTTTAAACAGCCAGATCTCCTGAGAATTCACTCGCTATACAATACCAAGGGAAGATGGTGGTAAACCATTAAAAATTGCCCCCATGATTCAATCACCTCCCATCATGCCCCATCTCTGACACTGGGGATTAAAATTTGACATGAGATTTGGGCGGGGACACAGATTCAAACCATATGATATATCCTTCTTACTCTAAGACAATACAATTTTGAGGAATATACCTGATGAAAATAATTAAATAATGGATTCAATTAAAGCATCAATACAATAACCACTAAAGAGAATCCATGTTTCTACAGTCCATAGTCTATTTTCAGTCCTCTTGTTATTTGATTTTTTAGGAGCAGTGGACACAGTTGATTACTCTCTAATTCCTGAAATACTATATTCACCTGACTTCTGGGAAACCACTCTCCCCTGGACTTCCTCTCATTTTTCTGATTGTTCCTTCTCAGGATCTTTCTGAATTCTCCTCAACTCTCCATCTTGCAAGCATTGAAGTGCCCCAGCACTAAGTTTTGGGTGTCTCTTTTCTACTTACAGTAACTCCCTTAGTGACTTCATCTAGGATCATGGTGTTAAATGCCATATATATTATGACTCTTAGATTTATATCTCCTGTCCAGACCTTGCTCTGAACTCATGACTCATGTATTCAGCTGTTTACTGAGCATCTCCAAATGCATGTCTTAGATATCTCAAAAGGAATGTGTTTTTCCACTTCCAGCAATATGGACTACCCATAATTTTCATTATTCATTACACTAAGCGCAGCTGAAAACCCTTGTCGTTATATATATATATATATACACAGATTAGGAAGGCTCTAAAAGGTAGAGAAAAGAAGACAGAGCTATTAGGAACTTCGGGATGTGAAGAGGTGATACCTGGAAACATCAACAGGAGCAAACAACAATCAAAAAGTCTTAACAGAAGTCTGTCCTCTCTAGCAAAAGGACCAGGAAAATGACAGCCTAGCAAGATAGAAAAGATTTAGGTAATATTCATTCTATTTTAGCCAAATGTCACAAGAAAATCCTGTGGCCCCACTCTATCCACTTAAGCAAAGGCCAAGTGAGGAGCCTAGAGTTCAATCCTCAGGAGAACATAATGAGGCTCCCTAACACACCGATAGAGAATGAGAAAAAAATTGTCTAATATTCTCTTGACTCTCTCTAGCTATATAGCCAAACACCCATGCTTTCTGTGGTTCAAGCCCCAGGTCCCAACGTGAGTTTCAACAATAAATTTCCTTAGCGGTGACAGAAAAGAGATATGAATAATTTTTGAATAATGCAACAAAATTCAGACATCTAAATTTTATTCTCTTCCAGGTAATCAATACGGCCATCTCCTCAACTTATTCTCATGTTTCTGGCAATGCTTCAGTCACCCTTGAAGTTTTTTTTCATCTTTTACAATTATCTTGTGAGCAAATGATAAACCACTTTTTATTGTTTTAATAAAGTTTCTATCAACAGACAAACAGATAAATCTTTTTAAATATCCTTGGTGTTGATAAATATTTATCCTAGAAACTATGCTTGAATATTTAGAAATTCTAAATTGGATTTAGAATTCAATATGCTGAATCATATAGGAGCTCAAACTGAATAATGCATCCGTGGATCAAAAACATGGTATTACCAGAAAATAATAATGGATTTTTGGCTCTGACTACACTTTCAAAAAGGAAGTTTTGAAAAGGTTCACAGCATATGAGTGTAGTTTTTCAAAACAACTGTTTTGAAGAGGACAGTATTTCTTTTCTTTGTGGGTACTGTGTGTGTGTGTGCGCGCGTGTGTGTGCGTGTGTGTGTGTGCGTGTGTGTGCGTGTGCGCGCGTGTGTGTGCGTGTGTGCGTGTGCATGTGTGTGTGCATGTGTGCGTGTGTGCGTGTGTGTGTGTGTGTTTTAAGCTCCTTTATTACACATTTACAGTTTCCTTGCGAGTTTCTTCGTTGCACCAAAGCTTTCAACATCTGTACACAAGAAAAGACACTGTGTTTGGAAAGAATGAGCCCTGTTATGAGAAAACTTCTTTCAAGATTTCCACAGTTTTCAATTTCCTTTTTTAGCTAACTTTTGTCTACATACATAGGCGTACAGAAAGTGACATAAACAATTTCGTGTACATATCATTTCTGAATATCTGGTATTTGAACAATTTTGCAATGCTTGAATATATGTATGCACTCTTTGAAAATCATTATCTCTTATTTGTGTCTAGAATCTGTAGCCAGTAGTACTGCTTTTTAGATAAGCAGTACGATTCATGAAAATCTTGTTTCCTAACATTGTTCCTATAAATAAAATGTTGGTTGACACAGATTCATAAAGTATTTGGTAATTCTTTGTTGACTGCTCCCTTATGGCTAGATAGGACAGAATTTCTTTCTTCTGACCAGGAGAGGGCACTGGTGTTTCTTGAGTCAGCAGCTCCAGGGTAGAGAGCTAAGGGAATTTAGAGAGGTGTTTTCTTCATTTCTAGCACTCTAGCTACTTTTTTTGTTGTTGTGAAACTTGCATTCATAATACATATGAATAGCTTAACAGGAGAGCTTGACAGGAGCTAGGAATCCATTAACAGTACTTCTGTGTGTCAATTATAAGGAAGACCTTTTGCTTGACTTTAAGAGCTCAGCCATCTACACATTTGCCAGAGTGGAAATCAGGTTAGATCTCAGAGGCTCCCTGACTTTGTGCCTTGTTTGGGAGGGATTGAGAAAAGTGTCTGGGAAAACTTGCCTTAACTGGACTAAATGGCAAGAGGCATCAGAGTACTTTAGAAAGAAAATAAATTGTAAGTGCCTAAAGTATTCTACATGCTCTGAGTATTTAACTACAGTGCTTTTTTTTTTCTTAATACGTGGTCATTTGGAGTCACTGGTCTGAGTTCAGATAAGCACTTTTTAGGCTCAGCTGGGAACTTATTAGGTGAGAAAGCTGAGATTCTGTTTTAAAAAGTCACCCTTCTGTGCTTCAGATGTTACACTTATTGCTTAGCACCATGTTTCTAAGTGGGTGCAAAAATCAGAATGTGCTTTATTTGACTGCTGTTATTAACCCAGTGGAAAGACTCTTGCATTTCAGACAATGGAGAATTATTAAGGTCAACTCAGGGTGTACGTGTAGCAGGCAAATGGTCAGCTGGTGAAATTCATGGGGAAAAATCCTACATTTTTTCTTATTGTTAAAATCACCCCTTTAAAGAACTCTTTCTCCAAAATTGTCCTGTGAAAATGCAAATATTTGACTCAGGAGAAATACATTAACAGTTTAGTTAACTAAAGATATGTTTTATTTTATTTTATTTATTTATTTACTTATTTTTTTGTGGGGGAAACGCAGAAGGCAATGCGTTTGGAGCACAGAACACTGCATGGAGTCATAAGGCCTAGGAGGCTTAGTAGACTCTGGGCAGCCTGATGTAGCAGGGACAGATTTGATGCCTAGTGATAGATCTGAGGTATTGGTCAGGAGAAAGCCCAAGGTAAATTTTGTTTATACTTGTCCAGGCTTCCCCGACAACTGCTCCTGTACAGCACCACCTTTTGGGTACTATCCAATGCAATTTTAGATTTTTTGAAACTTAGGTTATTGACGATGATTTCAATTATGGTCCATTTCTGAGTAAAGAATTTAAATTTCGACTTGTCCTTCCTGATTTCAACGGGGCTTTTAAATGTTATTAAAGTATAAGTAAATACCATGTAAATGAAATTATATATAGAGTAAATGAATGTCATACTAATTAGAACACTATATAACTTGCTATATTATTAATTACTATATTATTACTATCTTTATAAACTATATTACCTGTCCTACCTACCTCACTGAGATGTCATAGGGTCACATGAAAGAATGAATATGAATACACTGACAAATAAAAATTACTATACCATATACAAGGTTTATTGTTTCTGTTGAGGCTTGAGATAGTTTGTCCATGAGCCAAGGATTACAAAAGGCAGCCAATCTTATAGGAAAAAGAAAAACACACAATACATTTATATTTGAATCCATATTGTGTGATAGACACCTTTGAGATCAGTTAGTAAGAATATAGCCTGAGATGAGTGTGAGTTCTACAAATAGCATTCTTGCTAAATTGGTTCTACAACAATGAAAACTATGGCTATAGCAACAAAATAATTTACAAGGACATGTATAACAAAGGAAGGACAGTGGAAATTGGAAAAGAGGAAGCTTTATACACTTAAGTAAGACCTATTTTTTCTTTGGGAGACCTAACACACAGGAAGAAACAAGTAAGCTTCTATTGTAACGTTTTGCTTGCAAATTAATTTCAAAACTAGTCTTTGACAGTTTTCAGTCATTGAAAAATATTATACACTTCCTAGTGCCACAGAAGAAGGGCTGTAATTAACCAACTCCAATGCATACCTTTCTGATTGATAACCTGAGGTTGCATGAGTTTGTGCTGACAATTTACAAATAGCTCTGTTAAGACCTATGTGCAGTAGCTGTAGATGCACAGCCATTAATCATAGCCATCAGCAGGCCTCCTGGAGTGGTTTACAGCAGCTTTTAATGTATGTTTTGCTAATTGAAAGTTACAGTGGTGCTGTAAATTCCCAGATGAATAACTACTTCTGTGTTGATTGCCTGTGGAGGAAAATCCCTCTAAATTTTCCTCTGGAAGGTCAGTTTAAAAATATGAGAATGATACTATTACCCACTTCTAAAGCCTCCAAAACTATAAAATTCTGTCTTAGTTTTTTTTTATCTTTTAAAATCAAGGTAAAACAAACGAACAAACAAACAAACAAAAACAAAGTGAAATGTCCCAGAATGGTGTAAAATTACAATTTTATTTATCTTTCCCTAAAACTATACTTAAAATGGTGTCCTTTTTTGTACAGACGGCTGTTGTTTAGTTCATTTTTGTGTGTAGTTACTTGACACAGACCATTTTTCCTGCCTCTCAGGTGGCTCATGTAGAGAGATTCTTGTTCATTATGCAAAAATTCTTTTTAGTATCACAGAGGCATAATCATCAGAAAACCTGAGAAACTACTTACCCAATAATCAAATTTTGGATTTTTGTCACTTTCATTACATTTTAAGAAACTTGCTTTCATTGAGTTGCTTTCTTGGCCTTGATTCATAAACTTACAAAGGACGAATGTTGCTTTCAGAACGACATCATTAAGAAGTAGCACCTAGTCAGAAAGTGATATTCTCCGACTATTAACACTAGAATATTGATCATATTAATCAGACCCTTGAAAAATGTATAAAGAATCATTAATGATAAATCCATAAGTTGACAGTATGTTTAATTAGAAAATAACAATTTGTATTTTCTACATAGTTAATGGTACTTTTATTAAGGGGACTTAGAGAACTCAGTTATCATTAAAGGGGAGAGTTACCTAAGGTCAATAATATGAATCCATCCTAAAGTGCCTGTGTTTCAGATGTTATAAATTCTTATCACTTTAGTCAACTTAGTTGTACCAAGTAATCTATATATGAAGACAAAATTTGTCTTATTCCTTATACCAACAGAGCCTAATGTGTGTTACTTCCCAAGGTATGATGAAAGGAAATGTTGAAACATTACATACACCATAACATTAGGTATGTTTTAGCACACCGAGTCACTTACCAGTGACTGAATCACTTTAATAAAAATCAATAGTTTTCT
This sequence comes from Homo sapiens, assembly GCF_000001405.40. Classification (NCBI taxonomy): domain Eukaryota; kingdom Metazoa; phylum Chordata; class Mammalia; order Primates; family Hominidae; genus Homo; species Homo sapiens. Next base: position 81,961,358 of record NC_000023.11, read on the forward strand.
TTACTTAGTACATATTTTTTTCACATAGAGTCACATATTTACTTCCAAAATCTCCAGTTTTTTTAAGATCTTAGTTAAAAGTACTTGTTAAAGTTATAATTTAATTATCTCCCTGAAATATAATTGTGGTTTACAATTGATGTTGTGTCAATGCAAATAGTCACAAAATATGTGTCCCTCTATATGTGTTTTACTGGTTTAGCAAAGCTAAGGGAAGCTAAAGTTAAAAGAATTCACGTGATATTGAGTGGTATGTGAATAAAGATAATATCATCTATTCATCCTACTAATTTCTAAGCCTAGGAAAAGAAAACAGATTGTAACATAGCAATAAAATAACATTAAAAAATAAAATTTGATATTGAAATGGAAATAGTGTGCCCACAGATAGATACTTGAAGATGACTATTTAGGTGTCAGGAAAACTGTCAAGGTATATTTACGTGCCCTTCCATTTTTCTTTCTGTGCCTTTTCTACTCCTCGCCTCTCCCTCTTAGCCAGCTATATTGTCAGTGCCCTCAAAATGTCCTCTATCTCTATAGAAAACAGTATGAAGATTAGTTTTAAAACTGAAAAGAGAACTACCCTACAATCCAGCAATCCCACTATTGGATGTATATCAAAAAAAAGAAATTAATGTATTAAAGGGGCACTGGCATTTTCATGTTTATTGCAGCACTATTCATAATAGCCAAAATATGGAATCAACCTAAGCCTTCATCAGTGGACAAATGGATAAAGAAAATGTGGTATATATACACAATGTAATACTATTCAGCCATAGAAAATGAAATCCTGCCATTTGCAGCAATGTGAATGGAACTGGAGGTCATTATGTTAAATGAAATAAGCCAGACATAGAAAGATGAATATCACATGTTCTCACTCATGTGTGTAAGCTAAAAAGTTTATCTCATAGAGGTAAACAGCAGGATAGTATTTACCAGAGTCTGGGAAGGGTGTTGGGTGGAGTTAGGCGGAAAGAGAGGCTAGTTAATGTATACAAACATAATTAGATAGAAGGAAGAAATTATTCTGCTATTCAATAGCAGAATAGGGTGACTATAGTTTACAACAATGTGTTATATATTTAAAAATAGCTGCAAGAGAGGACTTGAAATATTCTCAATACATATAAATGATACCTACTTGAGGTGATGGATATCCTAATTGCCCTGACTTGATCCTTACAAATTTTATGTATGTAACAAAATAGCATATGCAACGCATAAGTATGTACAAATATTATGTATCAATAAAATAAAAAATAATTTTAAAAAAATGCCTCTGGTTGCTCACTATTGCCCCCACCACAGGCAGGTAAACCTGAGCCTGTCTCAGAATTTCTCAAGTAGCCAAATTACCTCTTTTCTCTCCACATCAAACATCCCCAATGTTATCTTAATAGAGTAATTTTGTTTTAATGGAGGAATTTCTCAAACGAAAATAGATCCTTAGTTGACATATTTTGTAGCATTACTGAGTGGAGAATACTTATGATGTAGACATAATTTGAGAATTGGTGGGGAAAAAAAGGCTAATGTTCTCACTTTCTCATCTGAAATTATTCTAGATGAATAAGCCTGTTTTACTTTTTTGTCTATTCAGCATCCAGGAAAAGGGTAGAAAGGCATCGTAGGGCTTTTGATGTACAAATCAGTGAAGGGACAGGTAGTACTTATTGCTTCAGCTCACATACTTTGGAGTCAAACTGATGACGGTTTCATGCCCAGCTTTACCACAAATTAGTTGTATAACCTTTAATATTCCTAACCACAGGATGAATAATAATGATATTCACCTGAATTATCATCATCATCATCATCCACCTCATCATCAGCTACATCTTTATTCTAATTGGAAAATATGGTTTTCTTAGAGGCTCAAATACACTCATATTAATCCAATTACATAATCACTAATCTCAATTTGAATGTTTGACTTTAAATAAGCATTTGAGGAAACGAGCATGATCATAGAATAACATTAAGTATTATTTCAATGTTTATAAAGTATATCCCCCAAACAGGGTACCATTCAATCATTCAAGAGGTAAAACATGGAGGAAAGAGCAAAAAATGGATGTCATCAAATATTGGTTGTTGAATTTGAAACAATATAGCATTTTTACAAAGCAATTTGACAACATAAATCAAGAGTCTTAATAATGTATATACATTTTGTCCCCTGATTCTCACTCTAGAACTTTACCTAAAAAAAGTGATCTTTCTATCCATGAGCATGGAATGTTTCTCCATTTGTTTGTGTCCTCTCTTATTTCCTTGAGCAGTGGTTTGTAGTTCTCCTTGAAGAGGTCCTTCACATCCCTTGTGAGTTGTTTTCCGAGGTGTTTTGTTCTGTTTGTAGCAATTGTGAATGAGAGTTCACTCATGATTTGGCCCCCTGTTTGTCTATTATTCATGTATAGGAATGCCTGTGATTTTTGCACAATGATTTTATATCCTGAGACTTTGCTAAATTTGCTTATAGCTTAAGGAGATTTTGGGCCGAGGCGATGGGGTTTTCTAAACATACAATCATGTCATCTGCAAACAGAGCAATTTGACTTCCTCTTTTCCTATTTGAATACCCTTTATTTCTTTCTCTTGCCTGACTGCCCTGGCCAGAACTTCCAATGCTATGTTGAACAGGAGTGGTGAGAGAGGGCATCCTTGTCTTGTGCTGTTTTTCAAAGGGAATAGTTACAGCTTTTGCCCATTCAGTATGATATTGGCTGTGGGTTTATCATAAACAGTTCTTATGATTTTGAGATACATTCCATCAATACTTAGTTTATTGAGAATTTTTAGCATGAAGGGGTGTTGAATTTTATCGAAGGCCTTTTCTGCATCTATTGAGATAATCATGTGGTTTTTGTCATTGGTTCTGTTTATGTGATGGATTACGCTTATTGATTTGCATATGTTGAATCTGCCTTGCATCCCAGGGATGAAGCCAACTTGTTCATGGTGGATAAGCTTTTGGATGTGCTGCTGGATTCGGTTTGCCAGGATTTTATTGAGATTTTTGCATCGATGTTCATCAGGGATATTGGCCTAAAATTTTCTTTTGTTATTGTTGTGTCTCTGCCAGGTTTTGGCATCAGGATGATGCTGGCCTCATAAAATTAGTTAGAGAGGAGTCCCTCTTTTTCCATAGTTTGGAATAGTTTCAGAAGGAATGGTACCAGCTCCTCTTTGTACCTCTGGTAGAATTCGGCTGTGAATCTGTCTGGTCCTGGGCTTTTTTTGGTCGGTAGGCTATTAATTACTGCCTCAGTTTCAGAACTTGTTATTGGTCTATTCAGGGATTCAACTTCTTTCTAATTTAGTCTTGGGAGGGTGTATGTGTCCAGGAATTTATGTATTTCTTCTGGATTTTCTAGTTTATTTGCATAGAGGGGTTTATAGTATTCTCTGATGGTAGTTTGTATTTCTGTGGAATAAGTGGTGATATCCCCTTTATCATTTTTTATTGTGTCTATTTCATTCTTCTCTCTTTTCATTAGTCTGGCTAGCGGTCTACCTATTTTGTTAATCTTTTCAAAAAACCAGCCCTTGGATTCATTGATTTTTTAAGGGGTTTTTCCTGTCTCTATCTCCTTCAGTTCTGCTCTGATCTTTGCTATTTCTTGTCTTCTGCTAGCTTTTGAATTTGCTCTTGCTTCTCTAGTTCTTCTAATTGTGATGTTAGGGTGTCGATTTTAGATCTTTCCTGCTTTAATCAATATCATGAAAATGGCCATACTTAGCAAAGCAATTCATAGATTCAATGCTATCCCCATCAAGCTACCACTGACTTTCTTCACAGAATTAGAAACATCTACTTTAAATTTCATATGGAAACAAAAAATAGCCCGTATAGCCAAGACAATCCTAAGCAAAACGAACAAAGCTGGAGGCATCACGCTACCTGACTTCAAACTATACTACAAGGCTACAGTAACCAAAACAGCGTGATACTGGTACCAAAACAAATATATAGACCAATGGAACAGAACAGAGTCCTCAGAAATAACGCCACAGATCTACAACAATCTGATCTTTGACAAATCTGACAAAAACTAGCAATGGGGAAACGATTTTCTATTTAATAAATGGTGTTGGGAAAACTGGCTAGCCATATGCAGAAAACTGAAGCTGGACCACTTCCTAACACCTTATTCAAAAATTAACTCAAGATGCATTAAATACTTTAATGTAAGATGTAAAACTATAAAAACCCTAGAAGAAAACCTAGGCAATACCATTCAGGACATAGGCATGGGCAAGGACTTCATGTCTAAAACACCAAAAGCAATGGCAACAAAAGCCAAAATTGACAAATGGGATCTAATTAAATTAAAGAGCTTCTGCACAGCAAAAGAAGCTATCATCAGAATGAACAGGATCCTAGAGAATGGGAGAAAATTTTTGCAATCTATTCATTTGACAAAAGGCTAATGTCCAGAATCTACAGAGAACTTAAACAAATTTACAAGAAAAAAACAAACAATCCCATCAAAAAGTGGACAAAGGATATAAACAGACACTTCTAGAAATAAGACATTTATGTGGCCAACAAACATATGAAAAACAGCTCATCATCACTGGTCATTAGAGAAATGCAAATCAAAACCACAATGATATACCATCTCATGCCAGTTAGAATGGTGATCATTAAAAAGTCAGGAAACAATAGGTGCTGGAGAGGATGTGGAGAAATAGAAACAAAGACACATACACACGTATGTTTATTGCAGTGCTGTTCACAATAACAAAGACTTGGAACCAACCCAAATGCTCATCAATGATAGAATGGATAAAGAAAATGTGGCATATATACACAATGGAATACTGTGCAGCTATAAAAAAGGATGAGTTCATGTCCTTTGCAGGGACATGGATGAAGCTGGAAACCAACATTCTCAGCAAACTAACACAGGAGCAGAAAACCAAACACCGCATGTTCTCACTCATAAGTGGGAGTTGAACAATGAGAACACATGGACACAGGGAGGGGAACATCATACACCGGGGCCTGTTGGGGAGTCGGGGGCTAGGGGAGCTTTAGCATTAGCAGAAATACCTAATGTAGATGAGGGGTTGATGGGTGCAACAAACCACCATAGCACGTCTATATCTATGTAACAAACCTGCATGTTCTGCACATGTATCCCAGAACTTAAAGTATAATTGTAAAAAAAAGAAACAAAGTGATCAGAAATATACCAACAACCGCAGGTTTTTAAAATCACACAAAACACCTATAAACAACCTAAATATTTACAATAGAAGAATTAATTAAATAAAGTAAGATATATTAATATAATAAAATACTATATAGTTATTAAAATCATGGTGTTGAATATTTGCAGATACAGAAAATGCTCATATTGTTATGTAAAAGTTATAAAACTATATACTTCTGGGTTTAAAAATAATAAATCAAGGTCGTATACACATTTGTGCATTTTTACATACACTCACACACACTGAAAAAGAATTATACAGTGATAACGACTTTCACTTCTACATCTATGTACTGAGATTATTACAGATTTCAGGGATATGTTATCTATGCACCTTTCTCCATATTTGACATTTTCTACTCTAAGTATATATTATCTTCAATAATAAAAAAACAACAACTTTAAAACAAAGGTATTTCATACAGAATTCACTTCATATAGTGTCAGGGTTTACTCGTCCGAAGCTTCTGCTCTTTGCCCCTGTGCCTACTGGTACCATTTCTTCTCAGTCGCAGACTCCAATTTTAATCTTCTAGACTAGGAGCCACAGAATACCCTATATGCAGTATAGGGGTTAACTTTAGCATAAAAAGGAAGTTAGGTGTTAAGGATAGAAAGTCAGGAAGCCTCACAAGCCCAGCTTCAGCATTGATTAGCAATGTAGTCGAGGGAAAATTACTTTTCTTCCCTAAGCCTCAATTTCTCCCATCTGTGGAATGGGACTATTACATGTGCATATGTAATACATACAATATGTATAACAAATACCCATACATATTGGGTATTTGTGAAAATTAAATAATACTAGGTATCTCAAGCAATTAGCCCAGTGCCTAACAAATGATGCATGCTCAATAAATATGAGCAATTAGCTATTATTGACTGTGCCAGCTTATTGTACTTACTTTTGATTTCTTGACACTCCTTTTGTAATCTAGCACGGTGTGTTTGTACACAGTAGGCACTGAGCAAAATTACGTTTCAGTCAACTATAGAAAATAGTGTCATGTGTTGACAATAGCACTGGCCTGAGAAACAAAATATATGGATTGCAGTCACCTTTGTGTTTCCAGTTTGCTGTGTGACCCTAGACAAGTTACTTTCTATCTGTGGGCTTCAGTTCTGCTTTATTCTTCACTTTACAGTGAAGGTAGTAGGTAATACCAATAGAGGTTGTTTTTAGGTCCCTGCCAGAACTAGGATTCTATGATTCCTTGGCCTCTAACTCTCCTGTCTGCCTTGACTGCTGAACTACTGTAGTTTTCACCATCCTGATGCTTGCTTACCATTTGCTGCACACTCCTGGCCTGCTCTTATGCCAGGCACCCATGTGTACCCTACTGCCTGCTTGTCTGTTATCCCTAGGGATGTATCTGCCCTTTCCAGGGCCATCTCCTTGGCTTGATCATTGACATACTGTCTACCCATACCCAATGCTGACATAGATGCAAAACATTGTGAAAGGAGAAGTATGTTGCAGCCACATTCACTGGTTTTATGTATACACACACACACACACACACACACACACTATATATACACACACATATATATGCATATATACATATATATTTTTTCAAAAAATATATATATTATTTTCAAAAAATCATTTATCCTCAATTGATAAATATTTGTAACTATTCAAGGTTAAAAAGCAAATTGCCTGCTACTGTTATCTTGCTGTTTCTTAAACTGACTTTTTCTGTTTCACAAAATTTTCTCATCGTATTAATGGATCTCAACCACTCATGTTTTCAGAAAAGTCTTTAGCGTCATGAGAAGTAAAACATCTATAAGAGAAGCCCCTTTCTCCTGAGCTATGGTCAGCCGATACATACCAACTGTGTGGGTTCCCTTCGGTCTACTTCTAGCGTGGCTAAATAAGTCACAATCCCTTTAAATTTTTGAGTTTTACTTTATAACTAATTATATAAGGAGGTTATTCACAATTGCCACTTTTTTTCCAGGGTTTTATTTTTGTAGACTATTTTGAGAAAAGGAGTGCTTAAGGATAAGTGTCTATGTGCAGCCTACTCCAATATTTTCTGCTTAATTCCAGTTTAGGATTAGGGATTTATTTTTTTTGACTAGTTAAGAGTTTTTACTTTTGTTTCTGGCTGGTATAAATTATTTAACGTAGAAACAAATTGTATGGGTAAAATATGTATAAATAATTATGAGCATATACATACTTTTTCAAAGTTTTTTTTTTTGTCAATATTGCCTTAGGAAGAAAATAACTGGTTATGTTATTTTTATAGTGTCCTTTGGAATATCTGATAACCAGGAAATCAATTACATTTGACTCATGCTCAATCCAATTTGTTTGTTGTAGACCAAAATTATCACTGTAATCAGATTGGCCATATGGAGATCTAACTGCTTACTTAGTGCAAATCAAGTAGAAAATGGTTGATGCAATTTGCAGTAGAATTTATGTTTATCTATAAAGTCAGCAAACAAAAGCTTCAGATCCCATGAAAAATCCCTTCTTATGTCTAGTCTGCCAATCATAAATCAGTTTTAAAAATTCAAATCTTAACAGAAGCCATAGGAGGTTTTGGTAAACGCTTCCTGGACCAGTCTATTAAATTGAGCTGTTTGTAAGTATATAAGTGACTGAACCACTACAGAGACATATTTGAAGTTACAGAGAGGTGGGCCAACTGTTCTTCCATGGTTTTCTTGCCATGTGCTTCACAACGGTCCTTAAAAGGAAGCTTATCTCCTGGTTATGGCTTTTTATTTTTCTCTACCTCTAATTATAATGCAGCACAGTGTCAATTTTTAAAAATGTGTACGTAAAAATATAAGGAAACTAATGAAAAGCCAATTTTTTTGATGGTTTAGTTTTACAGTTTTACAGCTCACATTTATAAAGTATAGTGCACTACAAAAACTGTTCATTTTATTGCAAGGTTTAAGTCCTGTAGTTATTATAAGAAAGGTTTTTCCAGGAGTCATTTGCATGGCCAGAAATCTAATCATGAACAAGCAACACAAATAATCAGGCCTAAGTGAATTGAATTATCTTAAACCATAGTATTGTAGAAAAAAGGCCACAAGAGCGGTTCTAGAATATTAGATTTTAAGAAATTACCATAGTTGTTTATAAAATTCAGATCACTAGCTTTCAATGCCAGGTATTTTGGCTAACACTAAGTCTAGAGCGAAATTGAGGTATTTATTTTTCAGGACACCCCAAGATGTTTCTGATGCTGTTAGCGTTTGTATCACATTTTAAGAAACACTACTTGATGCTCTGAAAACAAGTTTAAATAGCTGCAATGAGAGCGAATAGCTTATTTTTTATATTAAGAAATATCTTGCAGCTAAAGTAACTTGAAGCACTATCAACTACCCTATAAATGTTTTTCAAACTTTGGGGTACATAAGAATAACCTGGAGTGCTTGTTTGCAATTGCAGATTACTGGGAATAAATCTCAGAAACTGGAAGTTAGTAGAGCTAGAGTTGGGACCAGTAGTCTACGCTTAAGTTTTCAGGGGCCTTATTTGAGAGGCATTATTCTCTGTACTTTTTGCTGAATGGAGGAGGAAACAGGAGAAGTGTAGATATGAAAGCAGATACAAAGTTACATTTCTCAATAACAAACCTACCAGATCAACAGACCTTACAGCCAAGAGAGAGGAAACTGGTCAGACTAACTTAAAGAAGTGGCTTTTAAGAAATCACTTCAGCATGAAGGGGAGTTGAACTTTACTGAAGGCCTTTTCTGCATCTATTCAGATAATCATGTGGTTTTTTTCATTGGTTCTGTTTATATGACGGATTACGTTTATTGATTTGTGTGTGTTGAACCAGCCTTGCATCCCAGGGATGAAGCCGACTTGGTCGTGGTGGATAAGCTTTTGGATGTGGTGCTCGGTTCGGTTTGCCAGGATTTTATTGAGATTTTCACATCGATGTTCATCAGGGATATTGGCCTGGAATTTTCTTTTTTGTTGTTGTTGTGTCTCTGTCAGGTTTTGGTATCAGGATGATGCTGGCCTCATAAAATGAGTTAGGGAGGAGTCCCTCTTTTTCTGTAGTTTGGAATAGTTTCAGAAGGAGTGGTACCAGCTATTCTTTGTACCTCTGGAAGAATTCGGCTATGAATCCATCTGGTCCTGGTCTTTTTTTTGTTGCTAGGCTATTAATTCCTGACTCAACTTCAGAACTTGTTATTGGTCTATTCAGGGATTCGACTTCTTCCTGGTTTAGTCTTGGGAGGGTGTATGTGTTCAGGAATTTATCCATTTCTTCTAGGTTTTCTAGTTTATTTGCATAGAAGGGTTTATAGTATTCTCTGATGGTAGTTTGTATTTCTGTGGCATAAGTGGTGATATCCCATTTATCATTTTTTATTGTGTCTATTTCATTATTCTCTCTTTTCTTCTTTATTAATCTGGCTAGCGGTCTATCTGTTTTGTTAATCTTTTCAAAAAACTAGCTTCTGGATTCATTGATTTTTTTGAAGGGTTTTTCTTCTCTCTATCTCCTTCAGTTCTGCTCTGATCTTAGTTATTTCTTGTCTTCTGCTAGCTTTTGAATTTGTTTGCTCTTGCTTCTCTAGTTCTTTCATGGGAGAAGATTTTTGCAATCTATCCATCTGACAAAGTGTTAAAATCCAGAAGCTACATAGAACTTAGACAAATTTATAAGAAAAAAAAACTACCCCATCAAAAAGTGAGCGAAGGATATGAACAGATACTTCTCAAAAGAAGACTTTTTTTTATTATACTTTAAGTTTTAGGGTACATGTGCACAATATGCAGGTTACATATGTATACATGTGCCATGTTGGTGTGCTGCACCCATTAACACATTATTTAACATTAGGTATATCTCCCAATGCTATCCCTCCCCCTCCCCCCACCCCACAACAGGCCCCGGTGTGTGATGTTCCCCGCCCTGTGTCCATGTGTTCTCATTGTTCAATTCCCACCTATGAGTGAGAACATGCAGTGTTTGGTTTTTTGTCCTTGCGATAGTTTGCTGAGAATGATGGTTTCCAGCTTCATCCATGTCCCTACAAAGGACATGAACTCATCATTTTTTATGGCTGCATAGTATTCCATGGTGTATATGTGCCACATTTTCTTAATCCAGTCTATCATTGTTGGACATTTGGGTTGGTTCCAAGTCTTTGCTATTGTGAATAGTGCTGCAATAAGCATACGTGTACATGTGTCTTTATAGCAGCATGATTTATAATCCTTTGGGTATATACCCAGCAATGGGATGGCTGGGTCAAATGGTATTTCTAGTTCTAGATCCCTGAGGAAACGCCACACTGACTTCCACAATGGTTGAACTAGTTTACAGTCCCACCAACAGTGTAAAAGTGTTCCTATTTCTCCACATCCTCTCCAGCACCTGTAGTTTCCTGACTTTTTAATGATCACCATTCTAACTGGTGTGAGATGGTATCTCATTTTGGTTTTGATTTGCATTTCTCTGATGGCTAGTGATGATGAGCATTTTTTCATGTGTCTTTTGGCTGCAAAAATGTCTTCTTCTGAGAAGTGTCTGTTCATATCCTTTGCCCACTTGTTGATGGGGTTGTTTGTTTTTTTCTTGTAAATTTGTTTGAGTTCATTGTAGATTCTGGATATTAGCCCTTTATCAGATGAGAAGATTGCAAAAATTTTCTCCCATTCTGTAGGTTGCTTGTTCACTCTGATGGTAGTTTATTTTGCTGTGCAGAAGCTCTTGAGTTTAATTAGATCCTATTTGTCAATTTTGTCTTTTGTTGCCATTGTTTTTGGTGTTTTAGACATGAAGTCCTTGCCCATGCCTATGTCCTGAATGGTATTGCCTAGGTTTTCTTCTAGGGTTTTTATGGTTTTAGGTCTAACATTTAAGTCTTTAATCCATCTTGAATTAATTTTTGTATAAGGTGTAAGGAAGGGATCCAGTTTCAGTTGTCTTTTGTTTATTTATTTATTTACTATTATTATACTTTAAGTTTTAGGGTACATGTGCACAATGTGCAGGTTAGTTACATATGTATACATGTGCCATGCTGGTGCACTGCACCCACTAACTCGTCATCTAACATTAGGTATATTTCCCAATGCTATCCCTCCCCCCTCCCCCCACCCCACAACAGTCCCCAGAGTGTGATGTTCCCCTTCCTGTGTCCATGTGTTCTCATTGTTCAGTTCCCACCTATGAGTGAGAATATGTGGTGTTTGGTTTTTTGTCCTTGCGATAGTTTGCTGAGAATGATGGTTTCCAGTTTCATCCATGTCCCTACAAAGGACATGAACTCATCATTTTTTATGGCTGCATAGTATTCCATGGTGTATATGTGCCACATTTTCTTAATCCAGTCTATCATTGTTGGACATTTGGGTTGGTTCCAAGTCTTTGCTATCGTGAATAATGCCGCAATAAACATACGTGTGCATGTGTCTTTATAGCAGCATGATTTATAGTCCTTTGGGTATATACCCAGTAATGGGATGGCTGGGTCAAATGGTATTTCTAGTTCTAGATCCCTGAGGAATCGCCACACTGACTTCCACAATGGTTGAACTAGTTTACAGTCCCACCAACAGTGTAAAAGTGTTCCTATTTCTCCACATCCTCTCCAGCACCTGTTGTTTCCTGACTTTTTAATGATTGCCAGCCAAAAAACACATGAAAAAATGCTCACCATCACTGGCCATCAGAGAAATGAAATCAAAACCACAATGAGATACCATCTCACACCAGTTTCAGTTTTCTACATATGGCTAGCCAGTTTTCCCAGCACCATTTATTAAATAGGGAATCCGTTCCCCATTGCTTGTTTTTCTCAGGTTTGTCAAAGATCAGATAGTTGTAGATATGCAGCATTATTTATGAGGGCTATGTTCTGTTCCATTGGTCTATATCTCTGTTTTGATACCAGTACCATGCTGTTTTGGTTACTGTAGCCTTGTAGTATAGTTTGAAGTCAAGTAGTGTGATGCCTCCAGCTTTGTTCTTTTGGCTTAGGATTGACTTGGCTATGCGGTCTCTTTTTTGGTTCCATATGAACTTTAAAGTAGTTTTTTCCAATTCTGTGAAGAAAGTCATTGGTAGCTTGATGGGGATGGCATTGAATCTTTAAATTACCTTGGGCAGTATGGCCATTTTCACGATATTGATTCTTCCTACCCATGAGCATGGAATGTTCTTCCATTTGTTTGTATCCTCTTTTATTTCATTGAGCAGTGGTTTGTAGTTCTCCTTGAAGAGGTCCTTCACATCCCTTGTAGGTTGGATTCCTAGGTATTTTATTCTCTTTGAAGCAATTGTGAATGGGAGTTCACTCATGATTTGGCTCTCTGTTTGTCTGTTATTGGTATATAAGAATGCTTCTGATTTTTGCACATTGATTGTGTATCCTGAGACTTTGCTGAAGTTGCCTATCAGCTTAAAGAGATTTGGGGCTGAGACAATGGGGTTTCCTAGATATACAATCATGTCATCTGCAAACAGGGACAATTTGACTTCCTCTTTTCTTAATTGAATACCCTTTATTTCCTTCTCCTGTCTGATTGCCCTGGCCAGAAAAGAAGACATTTTTGCAGCCGACAAACATAAGAAAAAAAGCTCATCATCGATGGTCCTTAGAGAAATGCAAACCAAAACCACAATGAGATACCATCTCACACCAGTTAGAATGACGATAATTATAAATCAGGAAACAACAGATGCTGGAGAGGACATGGAGAAATAGGAAGGCCTTTACGCTGTCGGTGGGAGTGCAAATTAGGTTACCTATTGTGGAAGACAGTGTGGTGATTCCTCAAGGATCTAGAACCAGAAATACCATTTGGCTCAGCAATCTTATTACTGGGTATATACCCAAAAGATTATAAATCATTCTACTATAAAGACACATGGGCATGTATGTTTATTGCAGCACTGTTCACAGTAGCAAAGACTTGGAACCAGCCCAAATGCCCATCAATGATAAACTGGATAAAGAAAATATGGCACATATACACCATGGAATACTATGCAGCCATGAAAAAGGATGAGCTCATGTCCTTTTTAGGGACATGGATGAAGCCGGAAACCATCATTCTCCACAAATTAACACAGGAACAGAAAACCAAACACCTCATGTTCTCACTCATAAGTGGGAGTTAAACAATGAGAACACATAGACACAGGAAGGGGAATATCATGCACCAGGGCCTGTCAGGGGGTGTGGGAGTAGGGGAGGGATAGCATTAGGAGAAATACCTAATGTAGACGACAGGTTTATGAGTGCAGCAGACCACCATGGTACGTGTATACCTATGTAACAAACCTGCACATATATCCCAGAACTTTAAGAAAAAAAAAAGTCACTTCAAACAAGTTTTCTTTTTTGTTGTTGCATTTTAGAGTATACCTACTAAATGCCACTGTTAGCACTACTACCACTTTTCTGAACCCACTCTCTTTATATACTGGCAGCCCCACCACTCACAGGAATTTAACAGCTCTAACAAAATTTAACAGCTCTCAGATTTTTTTTATAAAACTACTATTCTTTTTTCAAGTCTTCTTACATGTAAATAATTTCAAACTTAAAGTCACAAGAAAATTACAAAGTACATTCACATAATGTCACCTACATTTTTCAGTTGTAAACATTTCCCTCTTTCTAATCTTTTACCACTAAATTCTTTAGTGCATATTTCCTATGAACAGGGATGTGTTCTTACATAAAGATCATACAGTAATCAACTTCATTATAATGTGAGATAGATAAAATAGTTTAATCAGCTGTTTGTATTCCAATTTTGTTAGTTAACCCAATAATTGCTTCATAACTTTTTTCTTCTGCATTATAAGATCCAGTATGGTAAAGTATTGAATTTAGTTGTCTGCACGTTTTAGCCTTTTTAAAAAAAATCTAGAACATCTTCATAATTTTCCATAGTGCTTCAGTAAGCCAATATATTTGAAGGTTAATAGAATGTTCCTCATTTAGTGTTTGCCTGAGAAGTTCCTTGAGATTCAGAATATGCATTCTTGTCCAGAATAATCCACGGGGGATGGTGTATCCATCTCAGGATTTCACACCTGCAGGTCTACAATGTCCATCTGTCTCTTGTTAGTAATGTTACTTTTGACAACTTGGTCAAAGCGGTGTGCAATTTCTTCACTGTGTAATTACTGTGATTCCTTTCTCTTGATTGCAACTAATAGCAATCTTTGGGGACATATTTTAGACAATGTAAATATCCTACTTCTCATCAAAATTTTCTTTTAGATTCAATATTATTTGCGATTTTTTCTGATCCAATTTTTTTTTTATTATACTTTAAGTTTTAGGGTACATGTGCACATTGTGCAGGTTAGTTACATATGTATACATGTGCCATGCTGGTGCACTGCACCCACTAACTCGTCATCTAGCATTAGGTATATCTCCGGATGCTATCCCTCCCCACTCCCCCCACCCCACAACAGTCCCCAGAGTGTGATATTCCCCTTCCTGTGTCCATGTGATCTCATTGTTCAATTCCCACCTATGAGTGAGAATATGCGGTGTTTGGTTTTTTGTTCTTGCGATAGTTTACTGAGAATGATGATTTCCAATTTCATCCATGTCCCTACAAAGGACATGAACTCATCATTTTTTATGGCTGCATGGTATTCCATGGTGTATATGTGCCACATTTTCTTAATCCAGTCTATCATTGTTGGACATTTGGGTTGGTTCCAAGTCTTTGCTATTGTGAATAATGCCGCAATAAACATACCTGTGGATGTGTCTTTATAGCAGCATGATTTATAGTCCTTTGGGTATATACCCAGTAATGGGATGGCTGGCTCAAATGGTATTTCCAGTTCTAGATCCCTGAGGAATTGCCACACTGACTTCCACAATGGTTGAACTAGTTTACAGTCCCACCAACAGTGTCAAAGTGTTCCTATTTCTCCACATCCTCTCCAGCACCTGTTGTTTCCTGACTTTTTAATGATTGCCATTCTAACTGGTGTGAGATGGTATCTCATTGTGGTTTTGATTTGCATTTCTCTGATGGCCAGTGATGGTGAGCATTTTTTCATGTGTTTTTTGGCTGCATAAATGTCTTCTTTTGAGAAGTGTCTGTTCATGTCCTTCGCCCACTTTTTGATGGGGTTGTTTGTTTTTTTCTTGTAAATTTGTTTGAGTTCATTGTAGATTCTGGATATTAGCCCTTTGTCAGATGAGTAGGTTGCGAACATTTTCTCCCATTTTGTAGGTTGCCTGTTCACTCTGATGGTAGTCTCTTTTGCTGTGCAGAAGCTCTTTAGTTTAATTAGATCCCATTTGTCAATTTTGTCTTTTGTTGCCATTGCTTTTGGTGTTTTAGACATGAAGTCCTTGCCCATGCCTATACTTTGAACATGTTTGATATGCTTCCCCAAATCAAATTTCAGCTTCCTAATTGTCTTTTCTGACCTCTAACTTTGAAATGCTACAGAGGGCCCATGAGGCATCCAAAAGATAAGTAAACAGAATTATTTGACATGTTTAGTTACATGGGAAACACTGTCAAAATAAAAGATAATGTTTAACCTTCTTCAGGTTATATTTTAGTAAATAATATTAATATATGTTTCCAAATCATATGGGGTTTCTAATATTCTAATATTTCTAAGTATATGTTATCAATCATAATTATGTTTATTGTGTTAAGTTATTGCAGACTACAGAAATAACCAAATTTTCTTGTCAATTTGGTCTTTAACTATTACCATTTAAAGTCATTTGCATATTAACTCAATTGTTTAATGTTGATGCAGTTTCTGAAAACTTCACAAGTACCAAAAATCCTAGAATATGTTTTTAGGAGGTTCATGAAAGGATAGAAAGGGCCCTGAAAAGCACTCTTAAATACAGGTTTCTCGTAACTTTAGAATCATATCATTCGAACTGGGTAAGAATTCCTGGAACTTTAATGAAAAGGCTGCCTAGGTTACAAAACTGCTAACTCAACTAGAACAAAAATTAATTGAATACAAAAGAAATACTTTGCCAACTTTGCATGCTGAATCAGCCAATACTGAAATTGTTTACATATACAATTTGAACGAACTCCATGGTTTAAGTCAAATTACTGGTGATAACCAATCAGTTATCAACACTATGCACCTAAATTGGAAAAACAACTGGTATTCAAGAGGACGCAAGTCTAATGTTAACTAAGCATAGACCCTTGGAGAACCAGGTTGGCCACCTTGTTCTTCTTGAGTCCTTCAAACATATGTTGTTAAAACTTCTGCATTCTATGGCTCATCATGGAAAAGATAAAATTATCCAAATTAAATATATTGGTGTGGCAGCTTATAAATAGCTAGAATAGTTTATAACCAATTTTTAGTTTGTCAAATCAATATCAAAGCTCCAAGTATATTTGGCTACCTGATCGGCCATTTAAACATTTGTAAAGAGATTTCATTAAATTATCATTTTCAATGCATGTTTTCTGGTTGTATAAAAGCTTTCCCATGCAAGAGGGGTGATGATATTACAGTTAATTATTATGCCACAGTGTATTTTCTTCAGGTAAAAAAAGCTCTTTATGGTTCACTGAGAACATTCAACCCCTTTGCAATCTAGAACTTGAAGACTGGATCTTCTGCAAACATCATAGAAAGACTGCCCTTGCCATCCGCACTGCAACAAAACCTTGGGACCTTGAAGCTTGCGACATAATCTCACAACTGAGAAGGCTCTCTCCACATTCTTGGAACTGTATACCCATTGGAACCCTTAAGGTAAAACTAATCAAGGAAGTTTCTCCTCAGAAGAAGATGACATCCCTGATGTGAACAGCTTTTCCCAAGATGTTAGATCAAGACTTCTCTACTGTCATGAAACTCTTATCTTTAAATATTTTTCCTTGCTTATGCCTCTATGAACAACAGAAGTGAAAAGGGGGTCTGTTATTTACACTTATTGGGTATACTTTTATTTGAGAAGGATTTTACAGATAGCTTTATACATTGATAACTTTATTCTTTGATAGATAAAAGAAGAAGGCC
This sequence comes from Homo sapiens, assembly GCF_000001405.40. Taxonomy (NCBI): domain Eukaryota; kingdom Metazoa; phylum Chordata; class Mammalia; order Primates; family Hominidae; genus Homo; species Homo sapiens. Next base: position 81,978,597 of record NC_000023.11, read on the forward strand.
CAAAGTAGATGAGAAACTTTAATGTTACATACGCTGCCTTGTAATCAATCAGAAACAGAACACTAGTTCACTCCTTTTAACCCACATCATGGGTTAAATTGAACATTGCCAGGAAGCATTCATTCTTCTATAAGGGCATCCTTTGTTAGGTCATTTTTCTATGATTTGGAGTAAAACAGGCAATGGTTATAAATGTATCCCTCATGATAGGCTCTATAGCAGATTCTACCTTAAAGGCTATGGTTACACGGCAGACTCTACAGTCTCTTGTGAAAGTTAAGCTAAATAATCGAATTGCTCTAGATTACTTACTGGCTAAATAGCAGTATCTGTGCAGCTACTAGCACTTATGGCCTATGGAGAAAACACTGCGTGTTATAGAGATTCTGTTCTAGGGAATTAATGAAAAGACTGCTTAGTTAAGTGAGTAGACTCTTTATCTAGCTCATTCTTTGATATATTTGAATTCATGTGGTTTGGTTTATGGGGATTCTGGGTTAGCAGCATACTCCATACTCTTGATATTATTATCCGAATAATCATAATAATATTCTCCCTGCTGCATAGTATTCTCTCAAATATTTTAAAAGTTTGCATGCAGCCATGTCTAGAATGTAAAATAATCTCTCTTAAACTGTAATGACAAGAGCTGAAAGAAATGTGCGACCATGTGGACACTGTAACCTATGAATGACATGCTGAGACGGGAAATCCAAAATAATGGTAACTGAGAGTGGCGCTAAGGCCCTAAGTTTTGTCACACTGTCACTTAAGTGAGAACTTTACTACAAATAGAGAATTTTTAAAAACAAAATTATGGGAGGTCACTGTTTTGGACTGACCTCACGTACTAGGCACCAACAGACTAAACAAACAAACAAAAAAATAGAATCGCTTTTGCTAAATGTAACAAAATCAAATTAAAATTTTAAGGAAACACATAGGTCCTAGAACAGACCAGGCTTTGTTTTTCTCTTGTAAGAAAACATTCAAGCATAAGGAGGTACCTTTACTCAGTCTTTGTTCCTACTTTTGCAACTCATTGTTTCCCAGCGGATTTCAATACCAATAGTAATAGTGACATCAATGACTGAAGTTTTGGTCAATCTCTCAAAATTGAGAAGATGACCTAAAGGGGGGAATGGTTAAAGCGACTTAAATATGGCCTGAGAAGGACTCCATACTTCTATATTTCAGTCCCTGTGGGTTATCATCTGTATCCTAATTTAATAGGTAGACAAGATTGAAAACCTAAATTAGGAGTATGTGCTTGTAACAATAGCTCAGTCTGGCCAATCTCAGCAGCCATACAGTAACCACTTATACACTGCTGAGTGTTCAAATAAGGCAAACACCAACCTGCAACCAACAACCCAGCTATTTCTGTACCTCACTTCCAATTTCTGTACGTCACTTCCCTTTTTTTGTCTATAAATTTGTTGACTACGAGGCATCCCTGGAGTCTCTGAATCTGCTGTGATTCTGGGAGCTGCCTGATTTACAAATCGCTCATTGCTCAAGTAAACTTCTTTAAATTTACTTTGGCTGAAGTTTTTCTTTTAACAGACTGCAGCACAATCTCTAAATTATTGAAAATAAAACCATCTTGGTTTGAGGAAATCCTAGACAACGTCTGGATCTAAAAATAGTTGAAAACATAAACTGTTCTTTTAACAAATAGAAAAGACCACCTTTTTAGAGCTACCGGAAGGAAACCTGCTCAAGGAGATAAAAGCTAAATTGTTTTGCAAGGATTAGGGACTGCCATTTAGAGTGGCATTTAAACCATTCTTGATTACTGCAGTCAAGCCAGTTAACATATTCATTATCTCATATAGTCATCTTCTTCTGTGAGGTAAAAGAACATAAAACCTATTCTTTTTGCAAATTGTCAATATACAGTAGTATTTACTATAGTCCTCATGCTGTATTTTATCTGTGTAGATTTATGCTACATAACTGCAGCTTTACACCCTATGATGTGCATCTCCCCATTTTCTCTTTACCTGTAATAACAACAATCCTACTCTCTATTAGATTGTTTTAAAATTCTACATAGAGAAATCAAGTAGCATTTTTTTTCTGTGTCTAGCTTATTTAACTTAGCATAATGTCCTCCAGGTTCATCTCTGTTGCCACAAATGGCAGGATCTACCTTTAAAAATGTGAATAATATTCAATTGTATGTATAACACAATACCTTTATGCAGTCATAATTCCAGAGACACTAAGGTTGTTTTCATATATTGGCTATTTTGAATAATGCTATAATGAACATGGGAGCACAGATATTTCTATGAGGTGCTGATTTTATTTCCTTTAGATACATACCCAGAAGAGTGATTGGTAGGTAGATGGATAGGTAGATAGATAGATAGATAGACAGACATACTTAATTTTGGACTCTGCTGCATTCTATTAATTTATGTGCCTATATCTGTAGAAAAAAACAGTTCTGATAACAATAGTCTTTTTTTCTCAAACAGCTTTATTGATATATAATTTATAATATAAAATTCACCTATTGTAAGTGTCCAAGTCAATGGTTTTTAGTATATTCACAAAGTTGCATGACCTTTGCTACAGTCTCATTTTGGAACATTTTCATAACTCTAAAAGTAAACTCTATGATTATTTTATCATCACTAAGAATATTCACCTCCAGCCTGACAACAAGTAGTTTACTTTGTGTTTGCATATATTTGTTTGTTTTGAACATTTCATAAAAATTGAATCATGTAAATAATATAAATAAGAATAAAATAAACCATTCTTGAATGAGAAACAATTTTTTAATTTGTTATCCTGGCTACATCATAAATACTACTCACACTTAAAAAAGTATAAACAGCCCAGCTTCCAAGATGGCCAAATAGGAACCAATCAAGTCTACAGCTCCCAGCGAGATCAATGCAGAAGATCTGTGCAAGGTGATTTCTGCATTTCCAAGTGAGGTACCTGATTCATCTCATTGGGACTGGTTGGGAAGTGGGTGCAGCCCATGGAGGGCAAGCTGAAGAAGGGTGGGGCATCACCTCACCCAGGAAGTGCAAGGGGTCAGGGGATTTCCCTTTCCTAGTCAAGGGAAGATGTGAGCAACTGTACCTAGAGGAGTGGTACACTCCTGTCCAAATACTGCTCTTTTCCCATGGTCTTTGCAACAGGCAGACCAGGAGATTTCCTCCTGTGCCTGGTTTGGCGGGTCCCACGCCCACTGATGCCTGCTTAGTGTTAGTGCAGCAGTCTGAGATCGAACTGGAACGCTGAAGTTTGGCAGGCGGAGGGGCATTCACCATTGCTGAGTCTTGAGTAGGAGGTTCTATGCTCACAGTGTAAACAAAGCAGCAGGGAACCTCGAACTGGGCAGAGCCCACTGCATCTCAGCAAGGCTTACTGCCTCTCTAGATTCCACCTCTGGGGGCAGGGCATATCTGAACAAAAGGCAGCAGACAGCTTCTGCAGACTTAAATGTCCCTGCCTGACAGCTCTGAAGAGAGCAGTGGTTCTCCCAGCATGGCATTAGAGCTCCGATAACGGACAGACTGGCTCCTCAAGTGGGTCCCTGACCCCACTGTAGCCTGACTGGGAGACACCTCCCAGTAGCAGCCAACAGACACCTCATACAGGTGGGTGCCCCTCTGGGGTGAAGTGTCCAGAGGAAGGATCAGGCAGCAATATTTGCTGTTCTGCAGCCTCTGCTGGTGATACCCAGGCAAACAGGGTCTGGAGTGGACCTCCAGCAAACTCCAACAGACCTGTAGCTGAGGGGAAGGTCTGTTAGAAAGAAAACTAACAAACAGAAGGGAATAGCATCAACATCAACAAAAAGGACATCCACACCAAAACTCCATCCGTAGGTCACCAACATCAAAGACGAAAGGGAGATAAAACCACAAAGATGGGGAGAAACCAGAGCAGAAAGGCTGAAAATTTCAAAAACCTGAACACCTCTTCTCCTTCAAAGGAACATAACTACTCACCAGCAAAGGAACAAAACTGGAAGGGGAATGAGTTTGACGAGTTGTAAGAAGTAGGCTTCAGAAGGTTGGTAATAACAAACTTCTCCAAGCTAAAGGAGCATGTTCTAACCCATCGCAAGGAAGCTAAAAACATTTAAAAATAAAGATTAGACAAATGGCTAAATAGAATAACCAGCGTAGAGAAGAGCTTAAATGACCTGATGGAGCTGAAAACCACAGTATGAGAACTTAGTGAAGCAAACACAAGCTTCAATAGCCGAATAGAACAAGCAGAAGAAAGGATATCAGTGATTGAAGATCAAATTAATGAAATAAAATGAGAAGACAAGGTTAGAGAAAAAAGAGTGAAATGAACAAAGCCTCCAAGAAATATGGGACTATGTGAAAACACCAAATTTATGTTTGATAGGTGTACCTGAAAGTGACGAGGAGAACGGAACCAAGTTACAAAACACTCTTGAGGATATTATCTAGGATAACTTCCCCAACCTAAGAAGGCAGGCCAACATTCAAATTCAGGAAATACAGAGGACACCACAATGATACTCCTTGAGAAAAGCAACCCCAAGACAAATAATTGTCAGATTCACTGAGGTTGAAATGAAGGAAAAAATGTTAAGGGCAGCCAGAGAGAAAGGTCGGGTTACCCACAAGGGGAGGCTCATCAGACTAACAGTGGATTCCTTGGCAGAAACTCCACAAGCCAGAAGAGAGTGGGGGCCAATATTCAACATTCTTAAAGAAAAGAATTTTCAACCCAGAATTTCATATGCAGCCAAACTAAGCTTCATAAGTGAAGAATAAATAAAATCCTTTACAGACAAGCAAATGCTGAGAGATTTTGTCATCACAGGCCTGCCTTACAAGAGTTCCTGAAGGAAGCACTAAACATGGAAAGGAAAAACCAGTACCAGTCACTATAAAAACATGCCAAATTGTAAAGACCATCAATGCTATGAAGAAATTGCATCAATTAATGGGCAAAATAACCAGTTAGTCTCATAATGACAGGATCAAATTCACACATAACAATATTAACCTTAAATGTAAATGTGCTAAATGCCCCAATTAAAACGCACAGACTGACAAATTGGATAAAGAGTCAGGAACCATCAGTGTGCTGTATTCAGGAGAACCACCTCACATGCAAAGACACACATAGGCTCAAAATAAAGGGATGGAGGAAGATCTACCAAGCAAATGGAAGGCAAAAAAAAAAAAAAAAAAAAAGGCAGGAGTTACAATCCTCGTCTCTGATATAACAGACTTTAAACCAACAAAGATCAAAAGAGACATAGAAGGCCATTACATAATGGTAAAGGGATCAATTCAACAAGAAGTGCTAACTATCCTAAGTATACATGCACCCAATGCAGGAGCTCCGAGATTCATAAAGCAAGTTCTTAGAGACCTACAAAGAGACTTAGACTCCCACACAATAATAATGGGAGACTTTAACACCCCACTGTCAATATTAGACAGATCAATGAGACAGAAAATTAACAAGGATATCCGGGACTTGAACTCAGCTCTGGACCAAGCCGACCTAATAGATATCCACAGAACTCTCCACCCCAAATCAACAGAATATACATTATTCTCAGAACCACATCACACTTATTCTAAAATTGACCACATAATTGGGAAGTAAAACACTCCTCAGCAAATGTAAAAGAACAGAAATCACAACAAACTATCTCTCAGACCACAGTGCAATCAAATTAGAACTCAGGATTAAGAAACTCACTCATGAAATGTTTTGAACATTTCATAAATATTGAATCATGCAAATAATATAAATAAGAATAAAATAAATAAACCATTCTTGAATGAGAAACAATTTTTTTAATTTGTTTAATTCACTGAAAACCGCACAACTACACGGAAACTGAACAACCTGCTACTGAATGACGACTGGGTAAATAACGAAATGAAGGCAGAAATAAAGATATTCTTTGAAACCAATGAGAATAAAGACAAAACATACCAGAATCTCTGGGACACATTTAAAGCAGTGTGTAGAGGGAAATTTATAGCAGTAAATGCAGACAAGAGAAAGCAGGAGATATCTAAAATTGACACCCTAATATCACAATTAAAATAACTAGAGAAGCAAGAGCAAACAAATTCAAAAGCTAGCAGAAAACTAGACATAACTAAGATCAGAGCAGAACTGAAGAAGATAGAAACACACACCAAAACAACCCTTCAAAAATCAATGCATCCAGGAGCCATTTTTTTTAAAAGATCAACAAAATAGACTGCTAGCAAGACTAATAAAGAAGAAAAGAGAGGAGAATCAAATAGATGCAATAAAAAATGATAAAGGGTATATCACCACCGATCCCACAGAAATACAAACTACCATCAGAGAATACTATAAACACCTCTACACAAATAAACTAGAAATTCTAGAAGAAATGGATAAACTCCTGGACACATTCACCCTCCCAAGACTAAACCAGGAAGAAGTTGAATATCTGAATAGACCAATAAGAGGTTCTGAAATTGAGGCAATAATTAATAGCCTACCAACCAAAAAAAGTCCAGGACCTGACAGATTCACAACTGAATTCTACCTGAGGTACAAAGAGGAGCTGGTACCATTCCTTCTGAAACTATTCTGATCAATAAAAAAGAGGGAATCCTCCCTAACTCATTTTATGAGGCCAGCATCATCCTGGTACCAAAGCCTGGCAGAGACACAACAAAAAAAGAGAATTTTAGGCCAATATCCCTGATGAACTTCGATGCAAAAATCCTCAATAAAATACTGGCAAACCGAACCCAGCAGCACATCAAAAAGCTTATCCACCACCATCAAGTTGGCTTCATTCCTGGGATGCAAGGCTGATTCAGCATACACAAATCAATAAATGTAATCCATCACATAAACAGAACCAAAGACAAAAACCACATGATTATCTCAATAGATGCAGAAGAGGCCATTGACAAAATTCAACAGCCTTTCATGCTAAAAACTCCCAATAAACTAGGTATCAATAGAACGTATCTCAAAATAATAAGAGCTATTTATGACAAACCCACAGTCAATATCCTACTGAATGGGCAAAAACTGGAAGCATTCCCTTTGAAAACCGGCACAAGACAAGCTGGCCCTCTCTCACCACTCCTATTTAACATAGCGTTGGAAGTTCTGGCCAGGGCAATCAGGCAAGAGAAAGCAATAAATGGTATTCAAATAGGAAAAGAGGAAGTCAAATTGTCTCTGTTTGCAGACGACATGATTGTATATTTAGAAAAGCCCATTGTCTCAGCCCAAAATCTCCTTGAGCTGATAAGCACTTTCAGCAAAGTCTCAGGATACAAAATCAATGTGCAAAAATCATAAGCATTCCTATACACCAATAACAGACAAACAGAGTCAAATCATGAGTGAACTCCCATGCACATTTGCTATTAAGGGAATAAAATACCTAGCAGTACAACTTACAAGGGATGTGAAGGACCTCATCAAGGAAAACTACAAACCACTGCTCAAGGAAATAAGAGAGGATACAAACAAATGGTAAAACATTTCATGCACATGTATAGGAAGAATCAACATCCTGAAAATGCCCTTACTGACCAAAGTAATTTATAGATTCAATGCTATGTCCATCAAGCTACCACTGATTTTCTTCACAGAATTGGAAAAAAACTATTTTAAAGTTCATATGGAACCAAAAAAGGGCCCTCATAGCCAAGACAATCCTGGGCAAGAAGAACAAAGCTGGAGGCATCACACTACCTGACTTCAAACTATTCTACAAGGCTACAGTAACCAAAACAGCATGGTACTGGCATCAAAACAGACATACAGACTAATGGAACAGAACGGTGGCCTCAGAAATAACACCACACATCTACCACCATCTGATCTTTCACAAACCTGACACACACAAGAAATGGGGAAAAGATTTTCTATTGAATAAATGGTGTTGGGAAAACTGGCTAGCCATATGCAGAAAACTGAAACTGAACCCATTCCTTACACCTTATACAAAAATCAACACAGAATGAATCAAAGACTTAAATGTAAGACCTAGGACTGTAAAAATCCTAGAAGAAAACCTGGGCAATACCATTCAGGACATAGGGATGGCCAAAGACTTCATGACTAAAACACCAAAAGCAATTGCAACAAAAGCCAAAATTGACAAATGGGATCCAATTAAACTAAAGAGCTCCTGCACTGCAAAAGAAACTATCATCAGAGTGAAGAGGAAACCTATAGAACGGGAGAAAATTTTTGCAATCTATCCATCTGACAAAGGGCTAATATCCAGAATCTACAAAGAACTTAAACAAATTTACAAGAAAAAAGCAAGCAACGCCATCAAAAAGTGGGCAAAGCATGTGAACAGACACTTCCAAAAGAAGACACTTATGCAGCCAACAAACATATGAAAAAATGCTCATCATCACTGATCATTGGAGAAATGCAAATCAAAACCACAATGAGATACCATCTCATGCCAGGTAGAATAGCGATCATTAAAAGTCAGAAAACAACAGATGCTGGAGAGGTTGTGGAAAAATAGGAACGCTTTTACACTGTTGGTTGGAGTGTAAATTAGTTCCACCATTGTGGAAGATAGTGTGGTGATTCCTCAAGGATCTAGAACTAGAAATACCATTTGACCCAGTAATCCCATTACTGGCCATACACCCAAAAGATTATCAATCATTTTATGATAAAGACACATGCACACGTATGTTTATTGCAGCACTATTCAAGATAGCAAAGACTTGGAACCAACCCAAATGCTCATCAATGATAGACTGGATTAAGAAAATGTGGCATATATACACCATGGAATACTATGCAGCCATAAAAAAGGATGAGTTCAAGTCCTTTGCAGGGACATGGATGAAGCTGGAAATAATCATTCTCAGCAAACTATCACAAGATCAGAAAACCAAACACCACATGTTCTCACTCATAAGTGGGATTTGAACAATGAAAACACATGGACACAGGGAGGGGAACATCACACACCAGGCCTGTGGGGGGATAGGGGAGGGATAACGTTAGGAGAAATAGGTAATGTAGGTGACGGGTTGATGGGTGCAGCAATCCACCATGGCACATGTATACCTATGTAACAAAACTGCCTGTTCTACACATGTAACTCAGAACTTAAAGAATAATAATAAAAAATGTATAAACAGAGTATCATCTCAAAGACTGCTTCAATTATTACTGATTTGAAGATTACCTTTTATTTACTAGTATTGATAAATCATTTTCCACTTAAAAGTTCCATTTGCAATTTTGAAATTAATTATGAACTGGAAGTATTCTGGAGTTTCATAGTTAAAAACCAGGAGTGAAAACCATAATAATTACTTTGCTGTTTTTGCTCAAGAAAGAAAAGTATTGGCAGTTGGTCATGATAAGTATATGGGATATTAGTTTGAAAATTTGATTTTAAAATAAATATTTCTAATTTATTGGTATAATTCTGTTTTTACATCTCATCCTTTATTTGCATTTTCTGTCAGTCTGATGGTTGCCCTGTGGTTGTTGATCTTAATTTTGCCTCATCTGGCAACCAAATGAAACAGGGATCCTCACAATGTTGCATGACGGATAGAAGTGTTTTTCAAAGTTTTGTTTGTTTTTTCTAAAACTCTACTTTTTAGAGAGTTCTGTCTATTAGCACCAGTAAATATGTATCAGAAATTCTGTAATTTTAAAAAGTTAGTGCTATTTGGAAGGCATCATGGCTTATGGGGAAAATCAGTAACCTAGAATATATAGACCTTAGTCTAGTCTGCCTACATTACCCTTCTTTTGTGTGGCTTGAGTATGTCTTTTAAAATCTCCGTCTCAATTTTCTAATCTATAAAATGGTAACTTAAAACTTTACCAGTCTACCAATCCACTGGGGAGCTGTGAGGATAAAATGACAATTGATGTGAAATATATTCTAAATCACAAAATACTGAAACATGTAAATATTAAAGGAAACCTTACCATTCTTATTATTCTTTATATTTAGAACTTTTGAGATTGGCATTTGTGAACACATCTAGTAAAGAACGTGTCATACAGTAAGTCTTAAAAAAGGGTTAGCTAAGTCTGAATCTGAACAAGCTCGTGTTTTTGCATTTTATTTTCTGTTTTTCAAATAGAAGCTGGATAAGCTCATGTTTGAGTGTGATTTTGGAAGTGTGAAGTTGAATCCACTGAAATAAACTTAGAGAAAATTCAGGCAAATCTAAAATCCTCTGATGTTGAAGTTATTTTGGAGTGCCCAGGGACAAGCTGTTAGGTACTTATGGGGTATGCCTTAAAGTCGCTTTGGTTCAAAAATTTAGCTATTGCCTTATAACCTACTAAATTTAGTAACTTCTAATTTTTCAGATATTAATTTATTCAAAAATATAACAACTATTTCTTGAATATCAACATTTCCGGTGCTGTAGCCAGCAGTGAAGTGATAGTGATGAAAAAAATGTAGTACCTCGGTCAAGTAATTTCATACAGTGAGGAAAAACATGCATGAAAATTTTTACATTATGTCGCAATTCTGTGCTTTAAAGCAGTAATTTTCAAACTTTAACTTGATTTAGAATCCCTGGAGGACTTGTTAATGCACATAGTTTCGAATTTAGCAGGTCTGAAGTGGTGTTTGACAGTGTGAATTTCTAACAAGTTCCCAGGTGATGCTGATGATGCTGATACAAAGATCACATGTTGAGAACTATTTCTCTAAAAGTTATGTACCTAAGTTAGAAAAAAAAAATGACTTTCTCAACTGAAGGAGCTGCCATCAACTCCGGCAGCATGAGTGAGATTAAAAGCAGGTTGCGTGGGGATAAGGTAGTCCAATCACAGAAAATACTTACACCAAAGCCTAGGAGAAAGCCTTAATCAACAAATATGTCAGAATGGGTAAAACATAGACTATGAGGGAAGAGGTTTTAATGGCATGAGACAAAGCTAGAAAGTTAGTAAATATCAGATTATTGATGTTCAAGTATAACATGCCATGACGTTTTAATTTTATTTGGAGGGCAATGCATCATAAGCAGATAAATGTCATGTGCCAATTTTCATTTGAGAAAGATTACACTAGCGAAAGGGTGTGAAGCGAATTGAAAGGTGGCTATGTTGATGAGAGGCAGAGCATTGAGAAGGCAAGGTGGTAGAAGACAATGGTTCAATTTAAAAATGGCATTGGAGACAGAGAAAAAGGCACTCATTTGAAAGACTGTAAAGTGTTTTGGTTTCCTCTTTAGGGGACTGGGAAAAATAAATTCAGTGTTGCCCTCTTCTGTTTTAATGCTAAATGGAGATTTCCAGTAAGCATTGGGTATAAACACATAAAGTTTTGAAGATAGGTCTTAGTTGTAAATCTATATGGGAAATCAACATATGGCTAATGATATTATAGAAGCAACAAGAGTGAAGAAAATTACCCCTGGACAGTGTAGAGAAGCAGCTCAAAATCTTGATTCCACATTAGATTCACCTGGGGAGATTTTATGAAGTATGGATGGCTTAGCTCCATCCAAGATATTCTGACTTAACAGATACTGAGTGAGGCTCCCGACAGCAGTATTTATACAAAACTTTTGATGCTAATGTGTAGTCAAAGTTGAAAACTTAGTGTGGGAAAGGAAGAAAAAGGAATGAAGTGGAGGAGGGAAGAGAAAGGAAGGGAAGGAAAAAAGAAAAAGAAGAGAAAGGAAGAGAAGACAACAAGATTGATCTAAAACTGAAAGGACCATGGGATCTAGACTGAACATGACCAAAGAAGCACAGGAAGAGATATGATCAGGCAAGCAGAGTTCAGAGAGAGAAAAATATTTCAATTTGCTACACTGATGGCTTTGACAATGTAGGAAGCTGCCATGAGCCAAGGAATGAAGGTAGATTGAAGAAAATGAAAAAAGCAAAGAAACAGAATATATGCTAGATCAAGCAGCTGGAACGCAGCCCTGTTAACAATGTGACTTTAAAAAATTAATATACTGGCTAAGAAATTAAGTAAAGAGGTTGAGCGCAGTGGCTCACACCTGTAATCCCAGCACTTTGGGAGGTCGATGCGGGTTGATCACGAGGTCAGGAGTTTGAGACCAGCCTGGCCAACATAGTGAAACCCCGTCTCTACTAAAAATACAAATATTAGCCAGGCACGGTGGTGCGCACCTGTAGTCCCAGCTACTCGGGAGGCTGAGGCAGGATAATCGCTTGAACCCGGGAGGTGGAGATTGTGGTGAGCTGTGATCATACCACTGTACTCTAGCCTTGGCAACAGAGTGAGACTCAGTCTCAAAAAGAAAAAAAAAAAAAGAAAGAAATTAAGTAAAGATAAAAGAAGTGCTGTTAGCAAAGGAGAAAAGGTTGAAGTGAGAGGTAAACAATCAAATGATTTATCTCAGTAATTTTCATTACATGAGAGTTTAAATTATAATTAAAAGAGTGAAGAGATAGGAAGTTTTGATGAGTTTAATGAGAAAGGGGGTATCAGAGCTCATATGTGATCAAATTTCAGATAATGGAAAGGTGTGGTGCATGGCCATGTAAAAGCTAAATATATTGTCAGTGGAGATCACTTAAGGTGAAAAAGTAGGAAATCAATTGCGCAGAATGATAACATTATCCATATGGGTGTGACACTATTCGGGATGATGACAGTTTTTAAAGCAGAAAGAAATACAATGATGCAGGTGCTAAGATCTTTAGTAACTGAGAGAGATAGAGCAGGAGTCAATATAAGACAACAAGTAAGAAGAATGGATAACAGTAGACTGAGGTAGAATTTATGGGTTTCTGAGGAACTTGGGGTTTGGGAAGATAATGAAGGAGTAATGATCTAAAAGCAGCAATAAAAAATGTGGGTAGCTAAATTTTCAACTCTTAAAAAGATGATGTATAAAATAATAAGTAGGAATTACCTGCTAAGGCAAGTTGGAGAAAAATTACTCTAGAGGGAAAGTCATGTTGGATGTGAGAAGTGTGAATTCAATGGAGTTATTAGAGATAGAAAGTGAAAATAATGTCCCTGGAAAAAAAATACTGCGATATAAACATCTTAACATTAAATAGATTATCAAATAAGTTTTTGGAGGGGAAGTTTGTTAGGGAAGTTTGTTATAGTGAAAAATGTTAGACATACCTAAGTTTGAATCATTTTTTTGCTACCTACTATGTGTGCGACCACACTCCAGTTATAGACTTTCTCTGGACCTACATGTAATCACCTTTAACTGGGGGCAATACTGGTATCTACTTTACAAGGTTGTTGAGAGGATTCTATAATTTGATACTCTTAATAGTCAACATTTATGGATAACTTTACCATAAGCCAGCAGTTGTACCAAGGTCTTTCCTTCTTAAATTAAATACCATTTAAATTTATAATTGTTTATTTAAAAATATAATTATATTTTTAATTGGCATAATTTTCTAGGTTTATGGGGTGCAATGTCATGATATTATGCATTTATAATGTGGAATATTAAATCAGTCTAGTTAACAAATTCATCACCTTACATATATATCATCACATATACTTTTTTCCTGTTTACCTGAATCTTAAGAAATATATATATTACAAATATGATTTTATGTATATTCACAAATACACATAATTTCATATATATGATTTTACATATGTTATATATCATATATATGAAATTGCATATATGTTATATCATATATAAAATTCTATGATATATAATTTATAAAATATAAATATATTTTTTATTTACATATAATTTATTTTTATATATTTCATTTATGGTATGTCAAGTACATGAAATTGTATATCATATGTATTATATATAACTTATATATATAATTTCATATATATATGAAATCATTACCCTAGTTTTGCAGATGAAGAAACTGTGTCATAAATATGAATATGAATTAGACACCCAGTGCCTACATTATTAAATGTTCAATAAATAGTAGCTGGCTATTTTTCTATTCAGTCATGAGCCATATAATGGAATTTCATCAATGATAAACTGCATATAAAGCCATGGTGCAATATGATTATAATGTCATATTTTTTACTGTACTTTTCTATGTTTAGATATGTTTAGATACACCAATACTTACCCTGTGTTACAATTGCCTACAGTATTCAGTACAGTAACATGTTGTAGAGATTTGTAGCTCAAGAGCAATAGGCTATACCATATAGGCCATTTTTATAGTGGGCTATATCATCTAGGTTTGTGTAAAAACACTCTGATGTTTGCACAATGATGAAATCACCTAATTATGCATTTATTAAAATGCATCCATGTTATTAAGTAATGCGTAGTTTATTTGTATGTATAAAAGTTATGGGTGTATAAGTTTTTTTTATTTAACTTTTAAGTTCGGGGATGCATGTACAGATTTGTTATATAGGTTAACGTGTCATGGCGTTTGCTATATAGATTATTTCGTCCCTCAGGTATTAACACTAGTACCCACTGTTTATTTTTCCTGATCCTCTCCCTCCTCCCACCCTCTACCTTCCAATAGACCCCAGTGTGAGTTGTTCCCCTTTGTGTGTCCATGCGTTCTCATCATTTAGCTCTCACTTGTAAGTGAGAGCATGCAGTATTTAGTTTTCTGTTCATGCACTGGTTTGAGAAGAATAATGGCCTTCGGCTTGATCCATGTTTCCACAAAGGACGTGATCTCTTTTGTTTTTATGGCTGCATAGTATTCCATGGTGTATATGTACCATATTTTCTTTATCTAGTTTATTATTGATGGGCATTTATGTTGATTCCATGTCTTTGCCATTGTGAAAAGTGCTGAAATGAACATTCACGTGCATGTACCTTTATGGTAGAACAATTTATATTTCTTTGGATCTATACCCAGTAATGGAATTGCTAGATCAAATTGTATTTCTGTTTTTAGGTCTTTGATAACAACCACATTTGTCTTTCACATGATTGAACTAATTTACACTCCCATCAACAGTGTATAAGGATTCCCTTTCTTTTTTTTGCAATCTTGCCAGCAACTGTTATTTTTTGACTTTTTAGCAATAGCCATTCTGACTGGTGTGAGATGATATCCCATTGTGGTTTTGACTTGCATTTCTCTAATGATCAGCGATGCTGAGACTTTTTTAGATAATTGCTGCCCACATGTCTGACTTCTCATAGTTCATTATTGCTGGGGCATGGGTCACAGGATGTAAGGTGTAAGAAAAGACTACTCTGGACATATTGGTACAACTCTTGGTATGGCATAGCATAATTAGGCAGGAATCTTGTATAATGTAGTTTAACTCTCTCAAATTATAAATCAAATAAGTGGAACAAGAAAATTTAAATTACTCACTCACATTCCCAAGACTTGATTAAAATCCTTTGGATGCAGCATGCAGAAAACAATGAGATAGAATGCTTAACATTGTGAACTCTGGAGTCTTAAAGTTTCTACCATGTTTTGGTTTTGAACTCACAACAATCCATAATTTGACTCAGTTTTCTTAACTGCATAATTGTAATTACAACAATTTCTGTATCATTGAGTTGTGGTGAGAATTAAATTAAATACATACCGAGTAGACACCAAAGACTAGCTCTCTCCTGATCTCTAAAAGTATTGAACTTCCATGGTCCTGGGGAAGAAAAATATTACACAAGCAAAGAGAATATAGGGGTGAGGCTGAGGGTCCTATGGTAAGTTGTTTACATGTCTGAGCCCTCAGTAGACTGTAAGGGTTTGGTAACACATATAAGTAAAATATTTCTTCATGAATAACAAGAGAAATCACTATGCCTTAATGCCAGAAGAAAGCTGGGTGAAGAAATTTAAATTTTTAAACAAGATTTTATATTTTGGTGAAATACATATAATATTTGCCATTTTAGTCATTTTAGTTTTAAAATTAGTTTTATTTTTCTAATTTTTAACTTTTATTTTAGATTAAGGGGGTACTTGTACAGGTTTGTACCCAGGTATATTGTGTCACGCTGAGGTTTGGGGTACATATGATCCCATCACACAGGTACTGAACAAAATACCCAACAGTTAGTTTGTCAACATTTGCTGCCGTCCCTCCCTTCTTCCTATGGTAGTCCCCAGTTTCCACTGTGGCCATCTTTATGTTCCTGAGTACCAAATATTTAGCTCCCACTTATACATGAGAAAATGAAATACTTGGTTTTCTATTCCTGCATTAATTCACTTACGATAATGGTCCCCATCTCCATTCATGTTGCTGCAAAAACATGACTTCATTTTTTATGGCTGTGTAGTATTCCATGATGATGTATATGTTCCACAGTTTCTTTATACAATCCACCATTAATGGGCACCTGTGTTGATTTCATGGCTTTGATATTGTAAATAGTGCTGGGATTAACATGCAAGTGCATATGTCTTTTTGGTGGAAAAATTTTTCCTTTGGATATATACCCAGTAATGTGATTGCTGAGTCAAGTGGTAGTTCTGTTTTAATTTATTTGAAAAATTTCCAAACTGGTTTTTTACAGTGGCTGAACTAATTTAAATTCCAAATGACAGTGTATGAATATTCCCCTTTCATATTTTATTTTATTTTAAGTTCTGGTGTACATGTACAGGATGTGCAAATTTGTTGCATAGGAAAATTTGTGCCATGGTGATTTGCAGCACAGATCAAAACATCACCTAGGTATTAAGCCCAGCATGCATTAGCTATTTTTCCTGATGTTCTCCCTCCTTCTGCCCCCAATACAGGCACCAGTGTGTGTTGGGGTGTTTTTCCACTCCATGTGTCTATGTATGCACATTGTTCAGCTCCCACTTATAAGTGAGAACATCGAGTATTTAGTTTTCTGTTCCTGTATAGTTTGCTGAGAATAATGGCTTCCAGCTCCATACATGTCCCTGCGAAGGATATGATCTTGTTCCTTTTTTATGGCTGTATAGTATTCTGTGGTGTACACGCACTGCATTTTCTTTACTCACTGTATCTTTGATGAAATAAGACAAGCGTTTGTGTTGATTCCATGTCTTTGCTATAGTTAATAGTGCTGCAATGAACATATGTGTGCATGTATCTTTATAATAGAATAATTTATATTTGTTTGTGTATACTCAGTAATAAGATTGCTAGGTCAAATGATATTTCTGGTTCTAGGTTTCTGAGAAATTACCACACTGTCTTCCACAATGGGTGAACTAATTTACCTTCCCTCAACAGTATAAATGCATTCCTATTTCTCCATAGCCTCATCAGTATCTCTTGTTTCTTGACTTTTTAATAATTGCCATTCTGACTGGCATGAGATGGTATCTCACTGTGGTTTTGATTTATACTTGTCTAATGATCAGAGATGTTGAGCTTTTTTCATATGTTTCTTCACTGCATACATGTCTTATTTTGAGAAGTGTCTGTTCATGTCCTTTGCTCACTTTAAAATGAGTTGTTTTTTTTTGTTTGTTTTTTGTTTTTTGTTTTTTGTAAATTTAGGTTCCTTGTAGATTGTGGATTTTGTCCCAAGAATGGAGCTGTGCAGATGCTCAGTGGCTGCTCGGGTTGCAGCCAGCATCGGCAGGATGAAGACTGCCCAAGACGACTGAGTACCCGGTGGAAGGGGCAGCTGACATCATGTCAGTTCCAGTTTGCCCTTTTCCCCTGCTGAGGCAGGAGACTTGGTGGTTTGGACTGGGAGGAATTCCCCACAGCATAGCACAGCGGCTGTGGCAAATCGTGGCCAGATTGCTTTTTTAGGTGGAAGCTGGATCCATTCCTCCTCACCAGGCGGGGCCTCCCTGCAGGAATTTCAGCATCTGCAGCAAGGAGTTTATGGACAGAACTCTGAAATCCCTGGGACAGAGCCACCAGAGGGCGGGGCAGCCATGGTCTCTGGGGTCCAGCCAACTTGGTCCTTCCTGGCTGCTGGCTCTGAAGAATACTCAGAGGAGGGGCATTCCTCCCAGCTCAGCACACTTGTTCTTCCATGGGGCTAGGGTGATTCATTAAATGGATCCCCGATCCTGGGCCTCCTGACTTGGTGAGATCCCCGCCCAACAGGGGCCAGCAGACATCTTATACAGGAGCGTTCCCACCGGCATCAGGTCTGTGCGCCTCTGGGATGGAGCTCCCAGAGGAAGGAACAGGCAGCCATATTTTCTGTTCTGCAGCCTCCACTGGTAACACCTCCATGTGTGGGAGGGACCTAGGCAAATAATGTTTTGAATGCAACCCCAGAAAACTACAGAAGCCCTACTGAAGAGCGGCCTGACTGATAAAAGGAAAACAAACAAGCAGAAAGCAACAACAACAACAACAAACAAAAGACCCCACAAAACCCCACCGAAAGGTCAGCAGCCTCAAAGATCAAAGGTATATAAGCTCAAATACTCTTTCACTGAGCTAAAGGAGTATGTTCTAACCCAATGCAAAGAAGCTAAAAACCATGATAAAACATTACAGGAGCTGTTAACCAGAATAACCAAATTATAGAGGAACATAAATCACCTGATGGAGCTGAAAAACACAACATGAGAACTTAAGAATGCAACCACAAGTATCAATAGCCAGCTGAATAGACCAAGAGGAGAAAAGAATCTCAGAGCTTGAAGACTATCTTGCTGAAATAAGACAGGCGGACAAGATTAGAGAAAAAAAGGATAAGAAGCAATGAACAAAACCTCTGAGAACTATGTGATTATGTAAAAAGATTGCACCTATGACTGATTGGGGTACCTGAAAGAGACGGGGAGAACAGAACCAATTGGAAAACATACTTCACAATATCATCCAGAACTTCCCCAAAATAGCAAGACATGCCAACATTCAAATTCAGCAAATCCAGAGAACTGCAGGAAGATACACCATTAGAAGATCAACCCCTAAGAATGGGTATTATTAAAAGTAAAAAGATAGAAAAAAAATTGCTGGTGAAGTTGTGGAGAAAAAGGAACACTTATACACTGTAAGAATGTAAATTAGTTCAACAATTGTGGAAGATCGTGTGATGATTCCTCAAAGACCTAAAGACAGCAACACAATTTGATCCAGCAATCCCATTACTGAGTGTATACCAAAAGAATATAAATTGTTTCATTATAGAGACACATGAACATGTTCATTGCAGCACTATTCACCAGAGCAAAGACATGCAATTAACCTAAATGCCCATCAGTGATAGAATGGATAAGGAAAAATGTGGTATATATACACCATGGAATACTATGCAGACATAAAAAAGAATGAGATCATGTCCTTTTCAGGGACATGGATGGAGCTGGGGGCCATTATTCTTAGCAAACTTATTCAAGAACAGAAAAACAAATATTCAATGTTCTCACTTAAAAACAGGAGCTAAATGGTAAGAATGAATGGACACATAGGAGGGAACAGCACACATTGGTGCCTGTTGGAGGGTGGGGGTTGGAGGAGGGAGCAGATCAGGAAGAATAGCTAGTGGATGCTGGGCTTAATACCTGAACAATTGATAATCTGTGCAGCAAGTCACAATGGCACATGTTTACCTATGTAACAAACCTGCACATCCTGCACGTGTGCCCCTGAACTTAATAAAAGTTGAAAATTTAAAAAAATTAAATAATTTTTTTTTCTTAAATGTGTGGCACCATCCCCCTGACACACTCCTTTCTTCCTATTTTGGTCATGTTATATGACTGCTCCCTCTTCACCTTCTGTAAGATTTTCAGCTTCAGGAGGCCTCCCCAGAAGCTGAGCAGATGCCAGCACCATGTTTTCTGTAAAGCCCACAGAATTGTAAGCCAATTAAACATCTTTTCCTTATACATTATCCAGTCTCAGATATTTCTTTATAGTAATGCAAGGATGGCCTACTACAGGAATGTTTGCAGTTTTTGTCCATTCAGTATGGTGCTGTGGGTTTGTCATAGACGGCTCTTATTATTGTGAGTTATGTTCTTCCAATGCTTGGTTGAGGGCTTTTATCATCATAAAGGGATGTTGAATTTTCTCAAAAGCTTTTTCCACATCTATTGGGATGATTATATGGATTTTGTTTTTAATTTTTTATGTGGTGAATTACATTTATTGATTTGCATATGTTGAACCAACCTTGCATCCCAGGAATGAAGCTGACTTGATCATACTGAATTACCTTTTTGATGTGCTGCTGAATTTGGTTTGCTATTATTTTGTTAAGGATTTTTGTGTCTATGTTTTGTTTTGTTTTGTTTTTTGGTAGTACTGATTAAATTTTAGAACTCAATATTGGTCTGTTCTGGGTTTCAATTTCTTACTGATTCAGTCTTCAGAAGTTGTGTCTTTCCATGAATATATCAATATCCTCTAGATTTTCTAGTTTATTTATCTGGAGGTGTTCATAATACTCTCTGAGAATCTTTTTTATTTCTTTGGTATCCATTGTAAGGTCACTTTTGTAATTTCTGATTGTTCTTATTTGGATCTTCTCTTTTTTGTCTTTGTTAATATAGCTAGTTTTCTATCAATATATTTTATTGTTTAAAAAAACCAACTTTTTTTGATACTTTATATTAATTTGAGGGAGGTCTCAATTTTATTTAGTTCTGCTCTGATGTTAATTATTTTATTTCTTTGGCTAGCTTTGGTGTTTGTTTTTGACTTTTTGGTTCCTCTCGACATGATGTTATATCATTAATTTGAGATCTTTCTAACTCTTTGAGGTAGACATTTAACACCATAAACTTTTCTCTTAACACTACCTCAACTGTATCTCAAAAGTTTTTTTAAGTTCTGTCCCTATTTTCATTAATTAAAATTTTTTAATGTTTGCCTTTATTTAAATAGTCACCTTGGAGTTATTCAGGAACAAGTTGTTTAATTTCCACTAATTTGTGTAATTTTGAGAAATCTTCTTGGTATTGATTTCTATGTTTATTTCGTTATAGTCTCATAATATGATTGGTGTAATTTAGATTTTGTTGAATTTATAGAAATGTGCTTTTTTTGCTGAACATGTGGTCAGTCTTGGTGCAGGTACTGTTTGCAGATGAGATGATTGCATATTCTGTGGTTGATTGATGGGTGGTGGAGTATTCTGTAGATTTTTATGTGGTCTAATTGGTCATATGTAAAATTTAATTCCATAATTGTTTTGTTAATTTTCTTGCTTGATGTTATGTATAACACTGGAAGTGTGGTGTTGAAGTCCCCCACTATTACTGTGTTTCCTTTGAAGTCTTTTTATAGGTCTAGAAGTTATAAAATAGGTGCTCCAGTGATGGATGTGTATATATTTAGTATAGGTAAGTATTCTTGATGAATTGAATCCTTTATCAGCATGTAACACCCATTTTTGTCTGTTTTTACTGTGGTTGGTTTAAAGTCTGTTTTATTTGTTATAAGAATAGCGACCCTGGCTCTTTTTTATTTTTTGTTTGCATAATAAATCTTTCTCCAACCCTTTACTTTGAGCCCATTTGTGTCTTTCCATGAGACCATGTGAGACAGGTCTTTAGGAGATAGCAGAGAGGTTTTTTTTTTTTTTTTTTTTTAATTCCAACTTGCCACTCTGTGCCCTTTAAGTGCGGTGTTTAGGCCATTTAAATTCAAGGTTAGTATTGACATGACAGGTCTTGATCTTATTATTAAGCTGTTATTTGGTTGCTTTGTAGTTTCTATTGTGTGGTTGATTTATATGGTCAGTGGGTTATGTACTTAAGTGTGTTTTTCTGATAGCAGGTCTTGTTCTTTTATTTCAATTTTTAGAAATCCCTTAAGGATCTGTTGGAAGGCTGGCCTAGTGGTAACAAATTCTCTTAGTGCTTGCTTGCCTGGAGAATGTGTCTCTTTTCCTTATGAAACTTAGTTTAGTGGGAAATAAAATTTTTGGTTGGAGTTTCTTTCCTTTAAGAGTGCTCTTGGGAGGCCAAGGCAGGCAGATCACACAGTCAGGAGATCGAGACCATCCTGGCTAACATGGTGAAACCCTGTCTCTACTAAAAATACAAAAAATTAGCCAGGCGTGGTGGCGGGCACCTGTAGTCCCAGCTACATGGGAGGCTGAGGCAGGAGAATGGCATGAACCTGGGAGGCAGAGCTTGCAGTGAGCTGAGATTATGCTACTGCACTCCAGCCTGGGTGACAGAGCGAGACTCTGTCTCAAAAAAAAAAAAAAAGGATGCTCCAAATAGGCCACCAATTTCTCCTGGCTTGTAAGGTTTCTTCTGTATGATCTGCTGTTAGCCTGATGGTGTTTGGATGTAATCTGACTTTTTTGTCTAGTTACCTTTCCATTTTTTATTCAGGCTTGATCTTGGTCAATCCATTTACTGTATGCCTTGCTTTTTTTTTTGTATAATATCTAACAGGTGTTCTCTAGATTTGTTGCATCTTGCTGTAAATCTCTGTAGTAAAATTAAGGAGATTTTCTTGAAGTACTCCTGCAAGTATGTTTTCCAGTTTCTTTACTTTCTCTTCCTCTTTTTCTGTGGATGTGGTCATTTACATAATCCCATATTTCTCAAAGAAGACTTTGCTTATTTATAAAAATATGTTTCCTATTTATTTTTTGTAGACTGGGTTAGCTCAAAAGACCAGTGTTAAAACTCAGATTTTTTTCTTCTGGTTTGTGTAGTCTATTGATAAAGATTTCAATTGAACTTTTTAATTTTTTAAATTAGTTTTTTAATTACAGAAGCTCTGATTGATTACTTTTTAGGCTGTTTGTGTCTTCCTTTCTTTCCTGGAAAAATATGAAATGCTTCACAAATTTGCATGTCATCCATGTACAGAGGCCATGCTAATCTTCTTTGTGTTGTTTTAATTTTTTGTATATATGCTGCCAAAGTGGGCACAGAATTTTAAATTTAGAATTAAATAGTCTATAGGAAACTTTGTTCTGTCCCTAGATATAACCATCCAAGTCTGCAAATGTATTTTCACATTTTGAGTACTTCTGTGTGAGTGTCTAATCTTTGATCATGAATTTCTATTTAATCAGAAGTGCCTTTAATATTGTGGAATGTAATGGTGACATGATTCATCTTAGGCAATGAAAATTATTTGAAATAAAAAGTAATGTTACACAGTATTAATACTAGTTGGGAAAATATAGAAGTTCATTGTCAATGAAATTCATATTTTAAGGCTTCAGGAATAAATTTTGTAATGAGATTCTGGTTATTTTAATGATAGAAAATTCCAGATCCTAAAATTAACTTGATATCAAGATCATAAACAGGTTGGTGTGTGAAATTAATTTCTAGAAAAAACTGATTATTTATGAGTCAAAAGCAAGTAGTGTAACTGAAATTTGAAATAGCATTTTCTTAAACTCACTCATTTAATCTTGACAGCATAATTAATTATGAATAAAATATTTGTAAGATTAATATTTAAAAAAATATTCAGAGTAAAATATGTCTTTTTTCAATACACACTTGTTTGGAAAATTAGGAAAGGCATATGAATTAGACAATTATCAATAATTTCATTGCATAAAGAAGACTTCTGTTCAAACAACAAGAAGTAGTCTAGATTAATTAATGCCTTCACATATTTTCCACCTCTTTTAATTAGTATCATTTCTTCATCACTGGGCAGCAGCCCTCTTCATCAAACTATATATTTGTTTTAATCATCTACTAGAACCACCTGAGACATCAATTTTTGAAATAATTTCAAACTTTAAAAAAGCTGTATGAACAGTACAAAAAGTATGTATCTTCTTTACTCAGACTCCCCAATTGTCAATGATTTATGTATGATATGTGCTCTCTCTCTCTCTCTCTCCCTCTCAATAAATATTGAGATATTTTAGATAGAAATATTGCATTATTCTTTTTCTGAATAAGTTAAGAATATGGCATAAGTCTGATGCTACAAATTTATAACATTACAGTATACATTTGCCAAAGTAAGGACTTTTTTCACCATACCACCATTACAACCTCCAAATTAGTAAACATTGCCATTCATTTTACAGATTCCATTCAAATTTTGCTAATGGTCTCAATAATTTGTGTTTTATATTTTTGGTCCAGGATCTAATCCAGGATTAAATGTTGCACTCAATTATCACATCTCTTTACTGCCCTTTAATTTGGAACAGTTTTTCTGTCTTACCCTCTCTTTCATGACTGTGCCAATTTTAAGGAATAATAGCCTTTTATTCTGTGGGAAAGAAGGCTCATATTGTTTGGGGTTTTTCATGACCAGGCTCAGGATATGAAATTTTGGCAGATATACCACTAATGCGATGCTGCTTTTTTCACAGTGACTCACATCTAAAGACACCCAAATTGGCCGAATATTAATATCTTACATAACAATAGTATATTTGTCAAAATGAAAAATATTAACATTGGTTAATTTTTACAATGCTATTCTAATGTTTACTTTCTCCTCCTTCTCCACCTCCTCTTTCTCCCTTTCTTTTTCTTCCTCTCCTTCCTCCTCCTGCCCTTCTTCTTCCTGCTTATCCTCCTTCTTTCCATCTTTCTCCTCCTACTACTTCTTATTTTTTCTTCTTCTCAACTCTCCATAAATGTAATAAACTTTCTCAGCCATGGAGTCACATAAAAAACATAGAAGAATATACAACAATGATGGTAGATTAGTGTAGAATAACATAGAAAAATTAGATGTGTTGACTCTGGATATTAGCCCTTTGTCAGATGGATAGATTGCAAAAATTTTCTCCCATTCGGTAGGTTGTCTGTTCACTCTGATGGTAGTTTCTTTTGCTGTGTAGAAGCTCTTTGGTTTAATTAGATTACATTTGTCAATTTTGCTTTTGTTGCCATGTCTTTTGGTGTTTTAGGCCTGAAGTTTTTGCCCATGCCTATGTCCTGAATGGTATTGCTTAGGTGTTCTTCTAGGGTTTTTAGAGTTTTACATGTTACGTTTAAGTCTTTAATCCATCTTGAGTTAATTTTTGTATTAGCTGTAAGGAAGGTGTCCAGTTTCAGTTTTCTGCATATGGCTAGCCAGTTTTCCTAACACCATTTATTAAATAGGGAATCCCTTTCCCATTGTTTGTTTTTGTCAGGTCTGTCAAAGATCAGATGGTTGTAGATGTGTGGCGTTATTTCTGAGGACTCTGTTCTGTTCCATTGGTCTATATATCAGTTTTGGTACCAGTCCCATGCTGTTTTGGTTACTGTAGCCTTGTATAATTTGAAGTCAGGTAGCATGATGCCTCCAGCTTTGTTCTTTTTGCTTAGGCTTGTCTTGGCTATATGGGCTCTTTTTTGATTGCATATCAAATTTGAAGTATTTTTTTCTAATTCTGTGAAGAGTGTGAATGATAGCTTGATGGGGATAGCATTGAATCTATACATACTTTGGGCAGTATGGCTATTTTCATGATATTGATTCTTTCTATCCACGAGCATGGAATATTTTACCATTTGTTTGTGTCTTCTCTTATTCGCTTGAACAGTGGTTTGTAGTTTTCCTTGATGAGGTCCTTCACATCCCTTGTAAGTTGTACTGCTAGGTATTTTATTCCCTTAATAGCAAATGTGCATGGGAGTTCACTCATGATTTGACTCTGTTTGTCTGTTATTGGTGTATAGGAATGCTTATGATTTTTGCACATTGATTTTGTATCCTGAGACTTTGCTGAAAGTGCTTATCAGCTCAAGGAGATTTTGGGCTGAGACAATGGGGTTTTCTAAATATTCAATCATGTAGTCTACAAACAGACAATTTGACTTCCTCTTTTCCTATTCGAATACCCTTTATTTTTTTCTCTTGCCTGATTGCCCTGGCCAGAACTTCCAATTCTATGTTGAATAGAAGTGGTGAGAGAGGGCATCCTTGTCTTGTGCCAGTTTTCAAAGGGAATGCTTCCAGCTTTTGCCCATTCAGTATGATATTGGCTGTGGGTTTTTCATAAATAGCTCTTATTATTGTGAGATACATTCCATCAACACTTAGTTTATTGGGAGTTTTTAGCCTGAAGAGGTGTTGAATTTTATCAAAGACCTTTTCTGCATCTGTTGAGATAATCAAGTGGTTTTTGTCGTTGGTTCTGTTTATGTGATGGATTACGTTTATTGATTTGTGTATGCTGAAGAAGCCTTGCATCTCAGGGATGAAGCAGACTTCATCGTGGTGGATAAGTTTTTTTATGTGTTGCTGGATTTGGTTTGCTAAAATTTTATTAAGGATTTTCGCATCGATGTTCATCAGGAATATTGGCCTGAAATTTTCTATTTGTTGTGTCTGTGCCAAATTTTGGTATCAGGATGATGCTAACTTCATAAAATGAGTTAGGGGAGAGTCCCTCTTTTTCTACTGTTTGGCATAGTTTCAGAAGGAATGGTACCAGCTCCTCTTTGTACCTCTGGTAGAATTCAGTTGTGAATCCGTCTGGTCCTGGGCTTTTTTTGGTTAGTATACTATTAATTGCTGCCTCAATTTCTGAACTTGTTATTGGTATATTCAGACATTAGACTTCTTCCTGGTTTAGTCTTGGGAGGGTGTATGTATCCAGGAATTTATCCATTTCTTCTAGATTTTCTAGTTTCTTTGCATAGAGGAGTTTATAGTATTCTCTGATGGTAGTTTGTATTTCTGTGGAATCAGTGAGCAATTTTTATGTTTGTTGGTTGTTTGTATATGGTCTTCTGAGAATTGTCTATTCATGTTATTTGCCCACTTTTTGATGGGTTTTGATTGGATTTGCTTTTTTCTTGATTATTTGTTTGAGCTCCTTGTATATTCTTGATATTAGTTATTCTTTAGATGCATAGTTTGCAAATATTTTCTCTCACTCTGTAGGTTGTCTGTTTACTGATTATTTCTTTTGCTGTGCAGAAGTCTTTTAGTTTATTTAGGTCCAATTTATTTATTTTTGTTTTTGTTGAATTGGCTTTTGAGTTCTTAGTCATAAATTCTCTGCCTAAACCAGTGTCTAGAAAAGTTTTCCTTATGTTATCTTCTAGAATTTATATGGTTTTAGGTCTGAGATTTAATACTTTAATTTATCTTAAGTTGATTTTTGTATAAGGTGAGAGATGAGAATCCAATTTCCTTTTTCTACATGTAGCTTACCAGTTTTCCCAGAACCATTTGTTGGATAGGGTGTCCTTTCCCCACTTCATGTTTTTGTATACTTTGTCAAATAACAGTTGGCTGTAAGTATTTGGCTTTATTTCTGGGTTCTGTATTCTGTTCCATTGGTCTACATGACTCTATTTGTACCAGTACCATGCCGTTTTGGTAACTATAGCCTTGTAGTATACCTTGAAGTTTGGTAATATGATGTCTCCAGATTTGTTCTTTTTGTTTAGGATTGCTTTGGCTCTGTGGGCTCTTTTTTGTTGCATATGAATTTTATAATTTTTTCCTAATTCCATGAATAATGATGATGATATTTTGATAGGAATTGCATTGAATCTGTCGATTGTTTTAAGCAGTATGGTCAATTTCACAACAGTGATTCCACCCATCCGTGAGCATGGGATGTGTTTTCATTTGTTTGTGTCATCTATGATTTCTTTCAGTAGTATTTTGTAAGGTTTTTTTTTAATCTTTTTTTTATGTCTAATATAATTCAGCTGTGAATCCATCTCATACTGGACTTTTTCATGGTGGCAATTTATTTTTATTACTGATTCAATCTTGCTGTTTGTTGTTGGTCTGTTCAGGGTTTCTAATTCTTATTTCATCTAGAAGTTGTATATTTTCAAGAATTTGTCCACATCCTCTAGATTTTCTAGTCTGTGTATGTAAAGGTGTCCATATTAGCCTTGGGTGATCTTTTGTATTTCTGTGGTATCAGTTGCAACATCTCCAGTTTCATTTTTTATTAAGCTTATTGGGATCTTCTCTCTTATTTTACTTACTCTCCTGCCATTATAATTAATTCTAATTAATATTTTATATTAAAATTACTTATATTGTACTGTCTTTCATGACAAAAAGATTCTATCTTATAATTTAAATCTGTCAATTGTTTCATGAACTCTGGATTTTATAAGTTGCTTAGCTCAGCCTTTATAATATTTTTGTGTCTGTGGATTTTATAGATCAAAATCTGTTCTAAAATTTTATTTAATTCAAATAATAATAGCCACTTGAAATGAGTTCATGCTTTTTTTTTTAATTTTGGGTGATTGATTTCCCCAAATCATTAATAAAGTCTTTTATTTTTCTTACTAGTTTGAAATATTGCCTTAAATGTATGCTGAAATGACATACATATATCTTCTTGTTTCTTAATTATTATGTTTTTAACTTTTAGATTCAGGGGTACATGTGCAGGTTTATTATATAGGTAAACTGTGTATCACAGGGGTTTGGAATACATACAATTTTGTCATCCATGTAATAAGTATAGTACCCAATAGGTGTTATTTCTGATCCTGTCCTTCCTTTCACCCTTCATCCTCAAGTATACCCCGGTGTTTGTTGTTCCCCTCCTAGTATTCATATCTTCTCATTGTTTAGTTTTCACTTAGAGAATATGCAATATCTGGTTTTCTGATCCTGTGTCAATTTGCTTTTGATAATGGCCTCCATCTCTATCCAAGTTGCTGCAAGGACATGATCTTGTTCTTTTTAATGGCTGCATAGTATTCCATGGTGTATTAGCCTTTTGACGTGCTGCTTGATTTGGTTGGCTATTATTTTGTTCAGAATTTTTGCATCTATGTTCATCAAAGACATTGGCCTGAAGTGGTTTTTGTGTGTGTGTTTTGCTGTTGTTGCTGTTTTTGGTGTTTCTCTGTCTGGTTTTGGTATCAGGATGATCCTGGACTCACAGAATGAGTTGGGAAGAGGCTCCTACTCTTCATTATTTTGGAATAGCTTCAATACGGATAGTAACAGCTCTTCTTTGTACAACTGGTATAATTCAGCTATGAATCTATCTGGTCCTGGACTTTTTTTGGTTAGTAGGTTAATTACTACTGATTAAATTTCAGAACTTGGTAATGGTCTGTTCAGAGTTTCAATTTCTTTTTGTTTCAGTCTTGGGATGGTGTACGTTTCCAGGAATTCATCTCTTTCTTCAGGATTTTTTAGTTTGTATGCATAGAGGTGTTTATAGTAGTCTCTTATGGTTTGCTTTTTATTTCTGTGTGGTCACTGATAACAACCCCTTTGTTATTTCTAATTCTGCTTACTTGGTGCTTCTCTTTTTTTCTTTATAAGTCTAGCTAGTGCTGTATCTATCTTATGAATTTTTTCAAAGAATCATCTTCTGAATTTGTTGACCTTTCAAACTGTTTTCCATGTCTCAACTTATTTCAGTTTGGATCTGATTTTAGTTATTTATTGTATTCTGCTAGCTTTGGGGTTGATTTGCTCTTGCTTTTCTAGTTATAGTGCTGATGTTAGATTTTTAATTGAAGATCTTTCTAACTTTATGATGTGGATGTTTAGTGCTATAAATTTTCCTCTTAACTTTGCCTTAGCTGTGTCCCAAAGATTCTGATATGTTGTATCCTTGCTCTTATTAATTTCAAAGAACTTCTTCTTTATTTCTGCCTTAATTTTATTGTTTACCAAAAGTCATTCAGGAGGAGTTTAATTTCCATATAATTGTATAGTTTTGAGTAATTTTCTTAGAATTGATTTCAATTTTTATTGTGTTGTGGCCTGAGAAGGTGGTTGGTATAATTTTGGTCCTTTTGAATTTGCTGAGTATTGCTTTATGTCTGAATATTTGGTTGATTTTGGAGTATGTGCCATGTAATGATAAAAAGAATGTATATTCTGTTGCTTTTGAGTGGAGAGTTTTGTCTATTAGGTCCATTTGGTCAAGTGTTGAGTCCAGGTTTTTATTATCTTTGTTAATTTTCTGCCTCAATGATCTGTGTAATACTGTTGGTGGGGAGCTAAAGTTTCTAGCTATTATTGTGTGGAAATCTCAGTCTCCTTGCATGTCTCTAAGAACTTGCTCTATTAAAATAGGTGCTCCTGTGTTCGGTGCATATATATTTGGAATAGTTAGGTCTTCTTGTAGAATTGAAGCTTTTACCATTATATAATGCCTTTCTTTGCCTTTTTCTGATCTTTGTTGGTTTAAGGTCCATTTTGTTTGCAATTAGGATTGCAACCCCTCCTTTTCTTTCTGTTTTCCATTTGCTTGGTTGATTTTTCCCCATCTCTTTATTTCGAGTGTATGAATATTACTGCATGTGAGATGGGTCTCTTTAAGACAACATACCATTCGATCTTGTTTCTTTACCAAGATTATTACTCTGTCCCTTTTAATTGGGGTATTTAACCTCTTTACATTCAAGGTTAGTATTGATATCTGTGAATTTGTTCCTGTCATGATATTCTTGACTGGTTATCATACAGACTTGTTTGTGTGTTCCTTTATATTGTTACTGGTCTGTGTACTTAAGTGTGTGTTTTTGTAGTGGCTGATAATATCCTTTCTTTTCCATATTTACTGCTTCTTTTGGGACCTCTGGTAAGGTAGGTCTGGTGGTAATACATTTTCTCAGCATTTGCTCTCTGAATGGAAACTTATTTCTCCTTCAGTTATGAAGCTTAGTTTGGTTGGGTATGAAATTCCTCCTTGGAATTTATTTTCTTTCACATTGAATATAGGCCCCCAATGTCTTCTGGCTTTTAGAGTTTCTACTGAAATGTCTACTGTTGGCCTGATGTGGTTCCCTTTGTAAGTTACTGGGTTCATGTCTTTAGCTGCCTTTAATATTTTTTTCTTTCATTTTGACCTTGGAGAATCTGATAATTATGCTTCTTGGGGAGGTCTTCTTGTGTAATATTTCACATGGGTTCTCTGCATTTCCTGGATTTGAGTGTTGGCCTCAGTAGCAAAGTTGGAAACGTTTCCATGGATGATATGCTAAAAGATGTTTTCCATGTTGCTTGCATTTTTCCATCTCTTTCAGGGATGCCAATGAGTTACAGGTTTGGTCTCTTTACATAATCTTAAATTTCTCCAATTTTTTTATTCTTTTAAAGTTTTGATTTATTTTTGTCTGACTGAGATAGATATTTCAGAAAGCCAGTCTTTGAGCTCTGATATTTTGTTCTCACCTTGGTCTTATCTGCTCTTAATATTTGCAAGTGTATTTTGGAATTCCTGTAGTGTTTTTCAGCTCTATCAGATCAGTTTGGTTCTTTTTTATAATGGCTGTTTCATCGTATCAGCTCCTGTATCATTTTATTATGATTCTTAGCTTCCTTGGATTGGGTTTCAATAGTCTACTGAATCTCAATGATCTTTATTTCTTTCTATATTGTGAATTCTATTTCAGTTATTTCAGCCATTTTAGCCCAGTTAATAAACCTCACTAGGGAACTAGTGGAGTTCTTCAGATGCAATGAGGTACTCTGGCTTTTTGAGTTGCCAGAATTCTTATACTGTTTTTCTCTCATTTGTGTGGCCTAGTGTTCCTTCAATCTTTGAAGTAGTTGTTTTACAAATTGATTTTTTTTTCTGCTTTGAAGGGGGTTTGATTATGGTGTAAGGTGAGTTCAGTTGACTGACTTTGATTTCTAGTCTGCTCCTGTGTCTTGGAAGAGCCCCTTCTGAACCTTATCCATGCCTATGTTCCTTTTGTTGGGTGTTCTGGTCCACAGGGCTCCTTCAGGCAGGGGCCGCAGTTGGCAGACAAGCTGTATTCTTGCCAGCTCAGACCTAATCTACTGTCCATGTTCTTCCTGGGGAAACACTAGATTGCACCTGCCTGCAGAGTTCAGGCAGAAGCTGGACCACAGGGTTGGAATCTTTAGCAGGTGTGGCCTGTCTCAGTATGGGAGGTAAGGGTCAATGGAGTCACTTACCCTGCTATTCAGGTGTTTCCAGGGCAACTGGAGGCTTCACCACTCAGCCAATTCAGGCAGAAATAGGACCACTGGGACAGAAGCTTTAGCAGAAATGGCTCCCTAGCTATCAGCGTTGGGGGTAAATGAGGTCATGCGCTCTGCTGTTTGGGTGTTTCCTGGGACAAGAGGAAGCTGTACCCTCTACCTGAGTTCACAAAGAAGCAGGGCCGCTGGGCCAGTAGCTTTAGACATTGCCTACTTGGCTATCATTGTGTGGGGGGGAATAGGCGTGTGCTCTGCCAGCTGGATGTTTCCCTGGGCAAAAGGATGCTGTGCCCTCCAGCTGAGTTCCCACATGAGCAATAATTCTGGGCCAGAAGCTTTAGCAGGTGTTGCTTGCCTGACTATTAGTGGCCAGGTTGGGTGGGGTTGTCTGCTCTGTCATCGCAGTGTTTCTCAGGACAACAGAAAGCTGTGCCCTCCAGCTGAGTTCTCACAGAGGCAGGAACAATGGGCCAGAAGCTCTGCCAGGCATTGCCTTCCTGACTATCAGTGGCGAGGTGAGTGGGGTTGCATGGGGAGGCAGGGGATTCTTTCATTCCTAGTCTTTTACAGGTACCTGCGGAGAGTGTAAATCCCTCTGGGGGCTCTCACTTACTAACTCCTGTTGGAAGATTCTCCTGGCTCTGAGTGGAACCCAGACAGGCTGATGCCCAGCTTTGCTCCTCTTTCTCTGTGTTCCCCTGCTGCCTTGATAGATTCTGGTGTGGTTTCTTAGATGATCAGCCAGCAGGTTTAGTGTTCACTAGCCCTTATGTTTCCTCTCCCAGTTTTCTGGGTTTTTTTATGGTCCATTATTTTCTTTTTTAAAATTATTATACTTTAAGTTCTGGGGTACATGTGCATAATGTGCAGATTTGTTACCGTGCAGGTATACATGTGCCATATTGGTTTGTTACACCCATCAACTTGTCATTCACATTAGGTATTTCTTCTAATGCTATCCCTCCCCTGATCCCCCACCCCCCAACAGGCCCTGGTCTGTGATGTTCCCCTCCCTGTGTCCGTGGGTTCTCATTGTTCGACTCCCACTTATGAGTGAGAACATGCAGTGTTTGACTTTCTCTTTTTGTGTTACTTTGATGGTTACTTTTTTGATGGTTTCCAGTTTCATCCATGTCCCTGCAAAGGACAGAAACTCATCCCTTTTTATGGCTGCATAGTATTCCATGGTGTATATGTGCCACATTGGTCTATTATTTTCAGTCAATTTATTTCGTTATCAATACTGTATTATTTTAATTGGTATTGTTAATAAGTAATGTCCTCTGTTGTTCTAACTCAAATATTTCTTGGATTTCCTTCATTATTTTATATTTCATATTAATTTTAAAAGCATATTTTAGGGTTTATAAAAATCTTGTTGAGTGTGATTTGGATTGGATTTATTGATTAAGTCATGGAGAATTAACACATTGTGTTATTGTAAACATGGTATATGCCCCATTTAGTCATTATATTTTAAATCTTCAGCATTTAAAAATTGATTATCCATATTATTTTATATTTCAGTTGAGTTTATTTCAAGATATTTTGTATTTTTGTTTTTATTGTGAAGAAAATATCTTTCTCCATTATCAGTATATCTTCTGATTGTTATTGCTAGAATACAGAGAAGCTAATGATTTTATCTTGTTTATTTTTTATCTGGTTTTCTGACTGCTATCTTATGAGCTCTTTAAATTTTAGTTTAATATCTTGGTTTTTGAAATAGCTAATAATGTTGTCTGTAAACAGATGGCAGTTTTCTTCCTTCTTTATAATGTCTTTGCTTGTATTTTTATATTGTATATGACCCACAATTCATTATTGAATAATTGTGTTGCTAGAAGGCATCTTTCTCTTCTTAGACCAGATTCTTCCAATACAATAAAAATAAATTTAATTTGTAATTAGAGGAGAAAAACTCACCAAATAAATGTCTTTTTTTCTCCAAAATAAGTATGTTTAGGGAAGAAGTTAAAAATTGTGGCACAAAAGGCACTAGAATAGACAATATTAAAAAACGATTATTTCCAGATCCAAAATAACAGATGAAAGACAAGAGTCCACAGCTTCATGAATTAATTTTTTTGTTTGGTAAAAAAATCTACAGACAAATTTGGATGGAAATATGTGAGAAATCAAAGAAATAAAATTATGTTTACCCAATATTCCAGGTTCTATCATATCTGCAGCTTTCCTGTTCTATAGACATTCATAGATTCATACTAAGGCTTTACTAGTTAGGATTAAGAAGATTGCTTAGTACTTCCATAAATCCAAATTTTTGACCACAAAGGTGCTGGGAAAACTGGCTAGCCATATGTAGAAAGCTGAAACTGGATCCCTTCCTTACACCTTATACAAAAATTAATTCAAGATGGATTAAAGACTTAAATGTTAGACCTAAAACCATAAAAACCCTATAAGAAAACCTAGGCAATACCATTCAGGACATAGGCATGGGCAAGGACTTCATGTCTAAAACACCAAAAGCAATGGCAACAAAAGCCAAAATTGACAAATGGGATCTAATTAAACTAAAGAGCTTCTGCACAGCAAAAGAAACTACCATCAGAGTGAACAGGCAACCTACAGAATGGGAGAAAATTTTCGCAACCTACTCATCTGACAAAGGGCTAATATCCAGAATCTACAATGAACTCAAACAAATTTACAAGAAAAAAACAAACAACCCTATCAAAAACTT
This sequence comes from Homo sapiens, assembly GCF_000001405.40. Taxonomy (NCBI): domain Eukaryota; kingdom Metazoa; phylum Chordata; class Mammalia; order Primates; family Hominidae; genus Homo; species Homo sapiens. The sequence goes on from NC_000023.11 coordinate 82,012,985, forward strand.
GGCGAAGGACACAAACAGACACTTCTCAAAAGAAGACATTTATGCAGCCAAAAATCACATGAAAAAATGCTCATCATCACTGGCCATCAGAGAAATGCAAATCAAAACCACAATGGTATACCATCTCACACCAGTTAGAATGGTGATCATTAAAAAGTCAGGAAACAACAGGTGCTGGAGAGGATGTGGAGAAATAGGAACACTTTTACACTGTTGGTGGGACTGTAAACTAGTTCAACCATTGTGGAAGTCAGTGTGGCGATTCCTCAGGGATCTAGAACTAGAAATACCATTTGACCCAGCCATCCCATTACTGGGTATATACCCAAAGGACTATAAATCATGCTGCTATAAAGACACATGCACACGTATGTTTATTGCGGCATTATTCACGATAGCAAAGACTTGGAACCAACCCAAATGTCCAACAATGATAGACTGGATTAAGAAAATGTGGCACATATACACCATGGAATACTATGCAGCCATAAAAAATGATGAGTTCATGTCCTTTGTAGGGACATGGATGAAACTGGAAACCATCATTCTCAGCAAACTATCGCAAGGACAAAAAACCAAACACTGCATGTTCTCACTCATAGGTGGGAATTGAACAATGAGAACACATGGACACAGGAAGGGGAACATCACACTCCGCAGCCTGTCATGGGGTGGGGGGAGTGGGGAGGGATAGCATTAGGAGATATACCTAATGCTAAATGATGAGTTACTGGGTGCAGTACACCAGCATGGCACATGTATACATATGTAACAAACCTGCACATTGTGCACATGTACCCTAAAACTTAAAGTATAATAATAATAAATAAAAAAAGAAAGAAAATTGCTTAGTACTTCCATAAATCCACATTTTTGACAATAAGGGAGTGGGTAAATGAGTCATGATTCACCTGTACAATAGAGCCCCTTCTGGCCATTAAAATAATATTTTTAGAAAGATCATAATCTTTTATAATAGAAAAAAGCTTTAAAAATAGTATAATTTTATTTGTGTCATATATTTTTTCACAATTTTATCATAAAGTTAAAAGAACATATACATAAGAGGATTATTTTACACACATACACACAAACACACTTATATGTATGTAATTAATAAGGTTTAAATATTCATATATATCTACAAAATCAAAAAAACTTAAAACACAGTGTTAACATTGGCAATGCAATGTAGTAAGGTTTTTGATAATTTTTATTATCTTTATTGAACTCTTCTGTATTTTCCAAACTTGGTGAATGAACATGCATTACTCATATAATAATAAACATTCAACCAAGCATAATATTTACCCAAAACTCGCCCTTTAACTGAGTTAGGTCATATATCCCCGCATTTGCTACCTGCTCCTCTGTTTCCTGTTAATATCTGCATTTTATACTTGATTATTTGTTTCTGTATATCAACTGTCTCTGGAACTGCCCTCCACATCTCATGTTGTCTCCCATTCATATTAATCATGCAACTTTACTTCTTTACTCCTAAACTGAATCTGTTTATTTCATGCTTGTGTTCAGTTTCTGGGAGTTTTTATCTCATATCTCTGGTTATCACATTATTGACAACTACATCTTCCCCTACATCACCCCACAAACATGTTACATAAAGTAAAATATTAAAAGTCTTGAAAGACATGCACATCGATACTCAGTAATTTATTAAACAGGTTTTTTTCAGTGCTTGCTTTGTGTCACACACACACAGACTGGGAACTAAAGGTAAAACTGTAAGAAGGAGTGGACTCTGCTTTCATGAAATTACTCATACAGGCATTCAGAAATGCATTAATTAAATTACCACACACACATGCAAATATAATTCAGAGGTATGATCCAACCGCAAGGAATTGCATGATTCTATAAAGGCATATAACAGAGAACTGACACTGGCTTTTAACGTCAGTATTACCTGGAGGAAGTAGCAATATTTGTGGTGGTTAATTTTATGTGTCAATTTGGTTGGGCCATGGGGTGTCCAGATATTTGCTTAAACATTATTCTGGGTGTGTCCGTGAGGGTGTTCATGGAAAATATTAACATTTGAATTTGTAGATTGACATAGCATATTGTTCTCCCCAATGTGAGTGGCCCTCATGCAATTATTTGCAGGCCTCAACAGAACAAAAGGCTGAGTAAAAAAGAAAAGTTTACTCTTTTTGCCTGACTGCCTTCAGGCTGGGACATTGGTCTTCTCCTGCCTTCAGACCTGGACTCAGACTGAAACTTACACCATTTGCTCTCCTGGTTCTCAGGCCTTCAGAGTCTACTTGGAACTATGCCACAGCTCTCCTGTTTCTCCAACTTGCTAAATGCAGATCTTGGTACTTCTCTACCTCCATAAGTGTGTGAAACAATTTATTAAAATAAATGACTTTATACATACGTGCATACAAACATTCACACACACACGTGCAGATGCATACACAGACACACACACACACACACACACACACACAAATTTGTTCTGTTTCTTGGAAGAACTCGGACTATTACAGATTTTGGTACCAAGAGTGGTTTTATGGGAAGATAATTTTAAAGGTGAGTTTTTAAAATTGGTTCTGGAGTTTCTGGAAATTTCCCTCTAGTCTAATTAGATTTTAAAAGACCGTGGCTGTATTTCCAGTAGTAAAGAGAGTGCTGATAGTGCATGGCATAGTGTGGAAATAGAGATGTTCAAAATATCTTCATTGGATACTCCTAATCAACCACTTATAAGAAGCAAGGAGCTGGGTGACTGTTCATACTGCCCTTTGAAATATTTTTGGAATGCTAACAAATATAATGAGGTTGCATGGTTGCTTTTAATGTTTCTGGAGTAAGTGGGGAAAGAAAAAAATGAGCTCAGTATTTAAATTCGCAGCTAAACCACCACATAAATGACCTTCTATGTGTACCATGAAGGAAACTCTTATTTTGTAACCACAATGTTGAAATTGCTGAAAATACTAATCTCATCCTGTATCTGGCTGAATTACAAGTTGAATCCCCAGTATTACACGGTGTCTATTGCTAAAAAGAGGGCATTGATTGGAAAATAATGTGACCAATGGAAATGAGGATGCATGGAAACACTCTGACAAAATTGGGAACATTAAACCCCTGAATTTTGATGTATCTTCTTTGTCAGTAGAAGTCCTCACTCCCAGTGGATATATCCTCCAAAATTAGAGAAGAAACAGATTACAAAACCCTAGAAGAAGCAACCTCTGCAGCCTTAGTGGTAGCAGCCTCTGCACACTTGTCTGAGGAGATTAACCCTTAGATTACCTGAGGAAACGGTAATGGCCTTCCCAGGCTGTGGCCATACAATATAATGCTAATTTTCCTCTAGATGGACTCACATGACACTTTTTTCTTCTAAAGCAAGGGAAACCAATATGAGAATTCCAACAGAATCTCATATTTGAGAATTCCAATAAATTTTAATAAGAAATTTAACTAAACTCAAATCTCAGCAGGTGCATAAAGGTGAGTGTGACTCAAGAGGAGTTTCACTATATTCCAAATGAAGTACCTGAGTTATATATATAATATATAATATAATATATATTATATTATAATATATATTATATTATATATGTATTATATATATATAATATTATATATGTATTATATATATATAATAGAGAGAGAGAAAGATAGAAATTTGGGAAATATATATGAGAATACATGTTGTGGGTTTGGCATAATGGTAAAAGGAACATAAAGTTAGATCAGGCCAAATTTATTAATACAAGCTCACTAAGCATGAGAAAATTAGAAAAGCTGATTCCTTGGTTTAATGTGCAGAAAGGTATTCAAAGGCTAAGGGATATTAGTATGTTGGAGTGGATTTTTCATTTAATATCGTCCCACCCTTAGAGGGTTCAGAAGACATACTTTTCAGAAATACTGGGTAAAATATATTTATAAGGGAAGCATCACCACTTTAGATGAGCTCTGTAATCACTCATCCCTACAGGCCAGACCTTACACTGGGAAATGCTGTCACTTAATTGGAAATCTTAAATGTAACAGAAGTAATGGGATAATAGGGTCTCAAGGGACAAGTGGTGACACTCACATTATATAAACAGAGAGTCATTGCCTCTCAATCAATTTCCACATCTAAGTTAGTTTACAGACTTAGAATCTCCCTAGTGAAGTGGAGGAGGCTGCGTTCACTTGAGGAAGAACCAAGGGATATGGTCAAAAATTATATTGTTAATCTTTCTTCCTGCCTTACCCAAAAAGGCCTGTGGCCTATTGCCAGGGTAATGTTATATTTTAAAAAAATAAATAAATAAACACACCTTCTGGGGACTACTGGGTACTGTATTTGAACTGGCATTTATATCAGGAGATTTAAAAGATCACTGCGGTCCAGTGGTTGGAGTAGGAACTTATGGATGTCAGGATTTAAATGGATTTTTAGCTCAGGTCCACTTCTAAAAGGGACTAGTGTATCTTTTAACCCAGCTTGTGATTATTTTTCTAGTCCCAGAATGCAAAACTGAAATAAATCTACTCAGCAACTGGTGGAATTCTCATATTGGTTTCCTGACCTGTGGAGTGAGGGCTATTAAGATAGGAAGGATGAAGTGGAAGCAATTAGAGCTGCCTCTACCTAGAAAACTAGTAAATCAAAAGCGATACTGCATTCATGAAGATATTACAGAGATTAGTGTCACTCTCAAAAACTTGAGAGATGCAGGAAATATTCCTACTCAAATATCCTATTTGTCCTGTGCAGAAGACAGACAAATCTTGAATATTGACAGTGAATTATTGTAAGCTTAACAAGATGTTGATTCTAATTGCAACTGCTGTACCAAATGCAATTTCATTGCTTGAAAAAATTAACACATTCTGGTCACATGGTATGTAGCTAATTATCTGGAAAATGCCTTTTTATCTTAACCTATCATCAGGTGTATCAGAAGCAGTTTGATTTCGGCTAGCAAGATCAGCAATACACATTCACTGTCCTACCTCTAATGTATATCAACTCTTTAGTCCTATTTCTTAATTTAGTTTTCAAGGATCTTGACGACCTTCCTCTTCCACAGGATAACACACTGATTCATTACATTGATGACATTATGCTGATTGGGGTGAGTAAGAAATAGCAACTACATTCAACATAGTTTGGATCCTTGCATGTCAGGGTCTTGGAAATGAATCAGGAAAAGATTCGGGGCCTTCTACCTCAGCGAAATTTGTATGGATCCAGTGATGTAGGGTATGTCAAAATTTTCTGTCTAAGCTGAAGGATAAAATGCTGTATCTGGCCTCTCCTATAACCTAATAAAAGGCTCAATGTCTAGTGGACCTATTTGAATTTAAAAGGCAACATATTCCTCATCTGGATGTGTTCCTCTGGTCTATTTACTTAGTGACTTAAATAGCTGCTAGTTTTGAGTGGGTGCTCAGAATAAGAAAGGCTATTCAAAAGGTCCAGACTAGTGTGTAAGATGCTCTACCACTTGGACCATATGATTCAGCAGATCCAATGATGCTTGAAGTGTCAGTGGCACATGCATAAGTTGTTTTGAGCCTTAGGTAGGTATCTATATGTATGAATTATAGTTTAAGCCTTTAGGATTTTGGAGCAATGCTATACCTTCACCCATAGATAACTACTCTCCTTTGGAGTAAAAGCTCTTGGCTTGCTACTGAGTCTGGAAGGGATTAAAACTTAACCATGGGTCACTAAGTTACCATGTGGCCTGAGCTGCCCATCATAAACCTGATACTATCTCACCCAGAAAACCACACATTTTGGTATTCAGAGCAGCACTCCTTAATCAAATGGAAGTAGTATATACATGAATGGGCCTGAGCAGGTCCTGAACACATAAATAAAAGTTACATGAAAAAATGGCCCAAATGTTCATGGTTCCCACTCCTGCTACACTGCTTTCTCTCTCCTAACCTGCACCTATGGCCTCATAAGAAGTCTCCTGCAACTAGTCGACAGATGAAAAAAAAATTGAGCCTTATTTGCAGTTAGTTCTGTACAATTTATAAGTACCACCCAACAGTGCCTTTCTTGCACATCCCTAAGAAATGATAGTAAATGGAAATTCTTTTAGTAGACAAAACTTTGAGCAGTGCACCTGGTTGTTTACTTTTCTTGGAAGGAGAAATGACCAGATGTTAAACTATACCAACTAATGGACTGTGGCCAATAGTTGTCTGGATGGCCAGGGACTTGGAAGGAATATTGTCTCTGCCTGTTTTGTGTTGCTTCAACAGAATACTTGAGACTGGGTAGTTTATATTTTAAAAGAGGATTCTTTTGGCTCATAATTATGGAGGCTGGAAAGTGCAAGAATAGGCAGCCACATCTGGTTGGCTTCTTTTGGGGGCCTTGTGCTGTGTCATAAGATGTCGGAGAAGTAGAAGAGGAAGCAGGAGTTCAAAAAGGACAAAACATGAGGGGTGACTTTTTTTGGTAACAATCTGCTCCTACAAGAGCTAACCCAATCTTGCAAGAAGAAATTAATTTATCTCACAGACCTAATAACCTCTTAAAGGCCCCACCTCCTAACAAGATTATATTGGCAATTAAATTTCAACATGAGTTCTATCAAGGACAAACCACATCCAAACCACAGCCAACATGATTGAATAAATGGTGACAAAAAATTAGGAGAAGAGATATGTGGGTATATCTTCCTGAATGGGCAAAAAAACCATGAAAATATTTGTGCCCCCTGTGAATGCTCAGCAAAGAATTACCTCATCAGTGGAGGATTTTAATCATTACACTTGGATACTAGTCAGCCTCTTTTCTCAGCCACAGCTGCTCCTGCTCATAAGCAAAGTGGCCATGATAGCAGAGATGAAGGTTATACATTGGTTCAGCCATATAAATTTTACTCACCAAGGCCAAACTGGCTATGGCCATGGCTGAATGATCAATCAGCCAGTAGCAAAAACCAACACTGAATTCTTAATATGTCACCATTTTTTACAGTGATTAGGCAGCTACCTGATAACAAGTTAAATACAGCTATTTGTATTATAGAAAGAGTAGTGTTTTGTTTTACTGTAATAGAAACTTACTTTTGAATATAAATTTGCCTTCCCTGCATGCAATAGTTCTGCCAAAACTGCCATTAGTGAACTTTCAGAATGCCTTATCCATCATCATGGTATTCCGCACAGTATGCTTCTGATGAATAAACTGATTTTATGGCAAAATAATTGCTACATTTGGTCTATAAAATTTGCTGGTCTTACCATGTTCTCACCATCATTAAGCAGCTAACGTTTAATAGAATAGTGAAATGGCCTTTTAACAACTCAGCTACAGCACTTTCTAGGTGGCTGTACCTGGCAGGGTATAAACATAGTTCTCCAGGACATTGCATATGTTCTGAATCAGCGTTGGATGTTTCTTCCATACCCAGGATTTATGGGTCCAGGAATTAAGAGATAGAAACGGGAGTTGAAACCACTTACTATACTTTAGTGCCCAATAGCAAAATATTTTCTTCCTGTTTCTATGACTTTATGCTCTACTGGCCTGGTGGCCTTAGTTCCAGAGAGAAGAATGCTTCCACTGGGAGAGCCAACAATATTTCTGTTTAATTGGATGTTAAGCCTTCTACCTGGCCACTTTTAACTCCTCATGCCTCTCAGTCAGCAGGCAAAGAAGGGAGTTACAGTGCTGGCTGAAGTGATTGCTCCTGACCACCAAAGAGAAATTGGACTGTTGCTCCATAATGGAGGTAAGGAACAGTATGTCTATGGTACAGAAGATCTCTGAGGATATCTTAGTTTTACCGGACCCTATCATCAATGTTAATGGAAAACTGCAATTACATAATTCTTGCAGAACTACTAGTGGCCCAGAGCTTTCAGGAAGTGTTGAGTCACTCTACCAGATAAATATCTACAATGAATTGATGTGTTTCCTGAAGTTAAAGGATATAGACAATGGACAGTGGGGGAGAGTAGTTATCAATTTCAACTATGACTGTATGATCAGTCCAAGAAATGAGGACTCAAATTTTCATGAGTATTTCTTATTTTGTCATAAATGTACACATACACACACATATATGTATGCATATATAGTTGTTTTCTTATCTTTCTTATTCCTTCGTTATGTGACATAAGAGGTATGCACTTGTTATCACAGTATTTAAGTAAGGTACTGTCAGTTTTACTTTATTTTATTTAGTGTACAAGACATCAAGAAGTAAAGCAAGCAAGACATAATCTACCATTTTTATTCTGAGGAAAACACATTTTAATAGGTGTTTTCAGTTGTACGCTGGAAAACTGTATTATGTTAAGTGGGATTCTGACCTTGTTATCATCTTTACTTAGAGATTTAGTATTATTTAAGGAGATGTGCATGGGTGCTAAACTGAAGATATTTGAAATTGTGATGGTTACTTTTATGTGTCAATTTGAGTGGAGGAGGGTTGCTCAGGTATTTGGTTAAACATTATTCTGAGTGTGTCTTCGAGTGTGTTTTTGGATGAGATTAACATTTGAATCAGTAAACCGAGTAAACAGATTGCCTTTCCTAAGTTATATGCCCTTCATCCAATCTATTGAAGTCCTCAATAGAACAAAAGGCTGTGTAAATAATAATTTTCTTTCTCTCTTTGACTGTTTTTGAGCTGAGACGTTAGTCTTCTTCTGCCTTTGGCCTCAGACTCAGACTAGAGCTTACAACATTGGCTCTCCTGGTTCTCAGGTGTTTGTATTTGAACTGAAATTATACTATTGGCTATTCTGGGTATCCAACTTGCCAACTGAAGATATTGTGACTTCTCACTTTCCATAACCATGTGAGCTAGTTTCTTATAATCCTATCCATTTTTTCCTTTTTGTTCTGTTTATCTGAAGACCCCAGACTAATACAATATTTGAATCCAAATCTTAATTGTATATGAGAGTTAACTGGGTGAAGGGATTTGTGAAGAGCATTGAAGTCAGTAATATCAGAATAATTCAACAATCTGTGATGAAAAGAATTAAACTATGATAAACTATGTGTCAAAAAACATAGCATGTCATTGGGGGAGTGTGTTGAAAGAAGTGGCCTAAAGTGCTGTTGGAGAAATAGGAGAAGGCTAAACATTGGAGGATCTTACAGGTAAATTCAAGTGTTATTTTCTGCTGTTTAGGGTGTATCAAAGAGAATGTTGCCACAATGCTAATAACATTGGAAAAAAACTCAAAATTATGAAACTAATAACTTTTATGATCCCTTCAGATAGATGGGGTCTTATGGAAACAAGGTTAAATGAAACTTGAAAGTACAGCAGGCCCCTCTGAGAAGAGACAGGACACACAGACTGTTTCATCTTTAACCAGGCATGAAAAGATGTAGTACCATAACAGTAGATTATAAGAAATCAACTAAAATGATATTAATTCTTAAAGGATGAGTTATGTCAAACATCCCTTTAGAATAACTGCCACCACCAGACACAATGGGAGTTTGCATTCACTGACAAGCTGTCTTTTATAGGCACTCATCAAGTTCTCAAGAGAAAGATTGGGGTAGGACAGAAAACTATAAAATAAGTTACTATCAGTAGCACACTGGTAGAAAACTCTGCACACACTTACTAGGACAGTTTTCTCATAAAAAGAGAAAACATTAAGCTGATGTGGGAGAGACAGGAAACTCCCTTGGTTTCAATGATCAGGCAAACTTCCACTGTTTCTATGGCTGGGTTAGATGTAAAACATATCTTCCTCTAAGGAAATTATTAAAAATTCTGTTTGCTTCACAACAATATCTATTTCTACTTGGAGAGGAGCAAAACCAAAAATTATTTTTCTCTGGGAAAGGTACAGAAAAATTCTAATTGATTCAGGATTCTGTGCTAATACAAAGCAGATACCTGCTACCAGTGATAAGAGTCAGGAAACTCTCCTGATCAAGACCCAAAACAAAAACAAGACATACTTTAATTGGCATGCAGGGAGAGGTAGAAGCAATAAGAAGAATAAAAGAGCCTTACCCCAAGTCTTAGGCACAAAGAACCTGTCTAAAATTGAGACAAAAAAAAAAGGAGAGACAAGAATCTCTTCTGGCTATACGACTAGGTTGAGAATAAGTAACAAAAGTGGTAGCCTACATCTAGAGATGTGGGAGAGTAAAGTAGAGAAGAACTGCTCTGTGGTTTAAGAATGCAACGGCTGCTGAAATTTCGGGATAGAAGAGAAACATTGAGAAAAATCTTTTGGTTTAAGGTTTCCACACTATGCACAAGGTAACAACAAACCACTACTTCAAGAATTTTAAGGCTGCGTTGCACTGAACATAAATGTAGCAAAAATAAAACAAATTGAATTTAACTCCTGACTAGATTGAATCAACTCTTGACTCCACTGTTGGCCTCAGATAATCAAAGCCATACCAATTTCTGAGGATAGATACTATTTATATTGTGCTCTATTTTTTCTCTTATACAACATATTCAGCAATTTTTAGAGACAGTGCTTTCCTTTGTCACCTAGGCTGGAGTGCAGTGGTGTAATTTTGGTTCACTCTCGTGAGATCAAGAGATTCTCCTCCCCGAGACTCCCAAGTAGCCGGGACGATAGCCACATGTCACCATGCCTGGTTACCTGGTTAAGGTGGGTTTGTTTTGTTGCTTGTTTGTAGAGACAGTGTCTTTCTGTGTTGCTCAGGCTGGTCCTGAACTCCTGGCCTGAAGTGATCCTCCCACTTCAGCCTTTCAAATTGCTGGGATTACAGGCATGAGCCACCATGCCTGATTGGCAGTACTCTATTAAGATAAGAGCATTTTGTCAAGTTATAAGCAACCAACACAATCACGCTCAAAGATGAACCAAGGGTTGGAAAAATAAGAGAAGAAATTTTAAACAACTGTAATTTATATATTAAATAAATAACAAAGACAAACTGCATGCATAAATATATGGAACATATGATTAAAGTTATGAATATAGATACATATATATCATGTAAAAGGGTTAGAAAAATGATACTAGAAAAAATACTAGGCATATATGCAGATAAATCCAGTTAATTTGAAATTATGAAATACAAATTAATTACTTTGAAACACTAAAAGAAAAAACTGTCTTAGCTTGTATTGTTTTCTATAATAAAATAAGATAAACTGCGTAACTTATAAACAACAGGAAGTTATATCTCACAGTTCTGTAGCCCTGGAAGTTCAAGACCAAAATGCCAGTAGATTTCCTATCTGATGAGGGCCTGCTTCCTGGATGATATATAGCCATCTTCTCACTATAATTTTATGTTGTGGAAGTCATGAGAGAGGTCTGTCTCTTTTATAAAAGCACTAAATTTCATTCATGAGGGCCCTACCCTCATAACCTAATTACTTCTCCAAAGTCCCACCTTCTAACAAACAGTATAATAGGTGTTACATTTCAATATATAAATTGGGGTAAAGGATATAAACATTCCATCCCTGGCCCCCCATTTTAGTCCATTGCAATAGCTGTAATAATATATCATATACTGGGTAGCTTATAAACAACAGAAATTTATTTTTTGCTGTTCTGGAGGCTGAGAAGTCCAAGATCAAGTCACCAGCAGACTCACTGTCTGGTGAGGGCTCACTTTCTGGTTCCCATTCATGAGGGCTCCACCCCTGTGACCTAAACCACTTCCCGAAGGTCTCATATAATGATATCATCACCTTGGGGGTTATGATTTCAACATATAAATTTTGAAGGACACAAATATTCACACCATCACATTCCACACTTGCTTCTCCATAATTTATATTCTTCTGTTATGCAAAACAGAAGCCTATCCTAGTAGCCCAAAAGTATTAACTCATTTCAGCATCAGTATAAGTTTAAAGTCTCATATAAATGTTATTTAGACAAGATATGGGTGAGAATGAAAGTACATTTCTTTTTAAGACAATTTTTTTTTCTCCAACTGAGCACCTGTGACATCAACGCTACTTGCTTTCCAAATCCAACGGTGCAATAGGAGAGAAATATTCTTTTTCATTCCTAAAGGTAGGATAGGAAAGCATAAAATAGTGATCAGGTTCTAAATTAGTCCAAAACCCAATGGAGAAAATTTTATTAGACTTTAAGTTTCAAGCTTAATTCTCTGGCTTAACGCTTTGCCCTCCAGGAAAAATGGTGTGGAGGTCCTGCCTTCCAGATACATTTTGATGAAGATCATACTTTTCAGATATATTATGGCAGTTCTCCTCACCCATGACTTTGCTGGGTGGAGGCAACCATGCCTTCCTGAAGGGAGGCCACCACAGCCCACACTACACTAAATCTCACCAGTTTATGGTAAAGCAAATTCAAAAAATTGGAGGAAGTGGTTGTTATATAAGATGTGCAAATATCAATGTAAAAACACACAAAAAACATGAAAAAGAAATAAAATAAAATGCTTTCAAAAAGGGTAATTTCCCAACAAAAGATTTCAATAAAAAATAATTATAAAATCCTGGAAAAAGATTTCAAAATACTGCCACTAAAGAAGCTTAATGATTTACAAGAGAATACAGAAATACAATACAAAGAAATGAGACAAAGAATTTAAAATATAAATACAAAGTTTGCCAAAAAGATAGATATCATAAAAAAGACCCAAAAAGAAATTCTGGAAATATAGAATTCATTGAATTAATTTAAAAAATACATTCTAAAGCTTCAACAATTGATTAAATCAAGCAGAGAAAGAATTTCAGAATTTAAAGACAAGTCTCTTGAAACAAACCTGTTGCAGAAAAATAAATGTAAATAAATAAATAAAAATTGATAAAGCCAATATGACATATGTGACACCATAAAGCAATCAAGTATTCAAATTTTGGACATACCAGAAGTTAAAGATGAAATATAAAGGACATAAAACCTACTTAACAAAATGGTAGTTAAAAACTTTTCAACTCTAGTAAAACATTTGGGCATTCATGTATAAAAAGCTGCGATTGCCAAATAGAAACATTTCAAACAGATCTTTTCATTCCACAGGGGTTGAACTTTCAAAAGTCAAACACAAAAATAGAATTCTAAAATCACCAAGAAAAAAACAACTAGTCACTTATAAGGTGAACCTCTAGCCTACCAATAGTTGATTTCTCAGCAGAAATTACAGGCCAGGAGAGAATAGGATGATATATTAAAAGTACTGAAAGAAAAAACAAATCTTTCCCAGATAAGCAAAATCTAAGGAAATTCATTGAAATTAGATTTACCCTATAAGAAACGCTTAAGGGAATCCAACACCTGGATATAAAAGAATGATACCTAACTTCCTGAAAATACATAAAAATATAAAACTCAATCTAGAGCAAATACATGAATAAGGGAGAGAAAGAACTCAAATGTTATCACTACAAAAAACAACCAAACCACAATAATAAAAAATAAGAAAGAAAAGAATAAACTATATACAAAGGAACCAGAAATCAATTTATAAAATAACAGGAATAAGCCCTCACATAGTAATAATAACATTGAATATAAACTGATTAAACTAATCACTTAAAAGATATAGACTGACTCAATGGGGTAAAAATAAAATTATATGCTGATTCAACTATGCTACCAATAAGAAACTCATATCACTTGTAAAGACACATTTAGATTATAAGTAATTCGTTGGTATAGAAAATATTCCATGCAAACAAAACAAAAGCCATAAAAGAAGAGATCTACTTATGTCAGATTAAACAGACATTAATTTAAAAATAAAGATAAGAGCAAAGATTTTTACTTAATGAAGAAAGAGGATGTAAAAAATTTTAAACTAATTTGCACCTGACATTGGATCACCCAGATATATAAAGCAAATAGTATTAGACTTAAAGAGAAAGATAGACTGCAATACATTAATACTTCGGAATGTTAACACCTCACTCTCAGTATTAGGCAGATAACCTAAATAGAAAATTAACAACAACCACAACAAAACCCACATTGGATTTAAACTGCATACTGCACCAAATGGACCTTAAAGACACTTGTATGGCATTCTTTTCATCAATGGATAAAATATTCTCCAGAATACACCATATGTTAGAACACAAAATATGTCTCAACAACTTTAAAAAATATATCAAGCAACTTCTCAGACAACAATGAAATCAAACTAGAAACCAATAACAAGAGAAACTTAAAAAACTGTACAAATACATGTATATTAAACAACATGCTCCTGAATGACCATTGGGTCAAAAAGAAATTAAAGTGGAAAGAAAAAAAATTATTGAGACAAATGAAAATGATAACACAACATATGAAAACCTCTGGGATACAGCAAAAGTAATGTTAAGAGTAAAGTTTATAGCAGTAAACACCTTTGTCCAAAAAAGTAGAAAGATTTCAAATTAACACTTTGATAATACACCTCAGGGAACTAGAAAATTAATAACAAACCAATAAGTAAAATGGAAAAAGTGATTAAAATCAGACCAAAGCTAAACAAAACAAAGACTAAAAAAAGCAATACAAAACAAAATAGAAAAACAAATAGCTAGACTAAGAAAGGACCCAATAAACAAACTTGAAAAATTGGACATTACAACTGATAATACAGAATACAAAAGGATAATTAGAGATTATCATTAACCATTATACACTAATGAACTGGAAAATCTTAAGAGAAAATGAATGTATTTCTAGACAAATACAACCCATCAAGATTGATTCCAGAAGAAATAGAAAACTTGGACATACTATTAATAAGTAATAGATCAGTAATTAAATTTTTTTCAACAAAGAAAAGTTCGAGATTGGATTGCTTCACTGTAGAATTCTATCAAAGATTCAAGAAAGGAACTAACGCCAATATTGTCAATCTATTCCAAAACTTTGTAGAGGAAAAAATTCTTCCTTAAACATTCTACAAGGCCAGCAATAACCATAATAAAACCAGACACACACACACACACACACACACACACACACACACACACCCCCTTACGTGTCAATGTCTCTGGTGAACATAGATGGAAAAATTCTTAACAGAATACTAGCAAGGTGAATACAACAACACATTAGAAATATAATACACGATGATTAAGTGTGATTTATCCAAGGGATGCATGAATGATGAAATGTTTGCAAATCATAAAATGTGATACATAGCCTGGCCAATATGATCAACCCTGTCTCTACTAAAAATATAAAAATTTGCTAGGCATGTTGGCACATGCCTGTAGTCCCAGCTACATGGGAGGCTGAGGCAGGAGAATCCCATGTAGCTTTAACCCAGGAGGTGGAGGTTGCAGTGAGCTGAGATCATGCCACAGCAGTCCAGCCTGGGCGACAGAGCAAGACTCCATCTCAAAAAAAAAAAAAAAAAAAGTGATACATCATATCAACTGAATGAATAACAAAAATCATATGGCCATCTCAACAAACACAGAGGAAGCATTTAATCAAATTTAACATCCCTTCATGATAAAGACTCCCAACAAACTAAGCTTAAAAGGAACATATCTCAACATAATAAAGCCCGTATATAACAAACCCATGGCTTATAGTGAATGAGGAAATGCTAAAAATATTTCCTTTAAGAACTGGAATGAGACAAGGATACTCACTTTCAATACTCCTTTTCAATATAGTACTAGAAGTTCTAGTCAGAGCAACCAGGCAAGAGAAAGAAATGAAAGTCATTAAAATTGAAAAAGATGCATTCAAATAGTTTTCTTTCGCTGATATTATGACCTTATATCAGGAAAAATCTAAGGACTTCATCACATCACTCCTAGATATAATTAATAGAGTAAGCAAAGTGTCAGGATATAAAATCTGCATAAAAAATTAGTAGAATTTCTGTGTACCAATACTGAATTATCTAAGAAAGAAATCAAGAAAACAATTGGATTAATGATAGCTACACAAATAATAAAAAACCTAAAAATAAATTTAACAAGGTGAAATACCTCTAAAAAGAAAACTACAAAATACTGATGAAAGAAATATCAGAAGAAACAAACACATGAAAAGACATTCCATGCTCATGAATTAGAACAATTGATACCATAAAATGGCCACACTTCCCAAAGCAATATACATGTTCAACGCAATTCCTATCAAAATACTGATGTCATTTTTCACAGAAATAAAAAAAAATCTAAAATATATATGAAACAACAACAAAAAATTCATACAGCCAAGGCAATTCTGAGCCAAAAGCACAAAGATGGACATATCATGCTACCTGTCTTCAAAATGCATTACGAGTCTAGGGTAACCAAAACATTATGGCACTGGCAAAAAACAAGACATATAGACCAGTGGAACAGAATGTAGAACCCAGAAATAAATTTATATATGTGCAGCTATCTGATTTTTTACAAGGCACCAAGAACATAAATTGGGAAAAGGGCACCCTCCTCAATAAATAATGGTGGGAAAATTAGATATCCATGTGCAAAAGAATAAAACTGGACCCCTATCTCTTACCATATACAAAAATCTACTTAATAAGGAGTAACAACTTAAATGTGACACCTGAAACTATAAAACTACCAAAACCAAACACTTCAGGACATTGGTCTAGGCAAATAGTTCATGGCTAAGAGCTCAAAGGTACAGGCAACATAAACAAAAATAGACTAATTCGTAGGAGTTTGGTCAGGATGGTGGAAAAAGTTGTAAGAAAAAGTTATAGGGAAAGATGCAAACCTTCTTGGATGGCTGGGAGGTTTTGCAAAACTTCGGGAAAGAATTATGGCTGAAGGCAGCCAAATTCTCCTATCCGGAGCCTGAGAGCAAAGGGTAGATAACAAGGGAATGTAAACGAACTTATCTAGGTAAATTTGTTTATTCCTGTCTCCAGAAACCAACCTTTGACCATTCGGGCACAGGACTGCTCTCTACTGGGGGTGGGGGGGGGGGGTGGTCGACAATGTTTATTACCCATAAATTGTATTTTCTCCAAGCCTTTGTCATTAAATCTGTAGTAAATAAATGTGAGCAGGGCTGGCTTATGGGGACTGCACTCTCTTGGTGGCTGCAGCACTCTCTCGGTGGCTGCGGCACTCTCATTGGTGGTGCTGAGGGGTGCAGTCCCCTAGCTGCGCTGTCAGTCAAAATACCTGTGTCAGCATACTTCTTTCATCTGTCACTTGGCCAGAGTTTGCAGGACAGGCTCGGCACTAATTGGATTATATTACAATAAAAAAGCTTCTACATAGCATAGCAAAATGTTAACAGAGTGAAGAGACAACCTGTTGAATGAGAGAAAATAGCTGTAAACTATTCATCTGACAAGTGAATAATATCAAGAATGTACATGGAATTTAAAAACTCAACAGTAAATAATGATCAAATAACACAATTTAAGAAGTGGTAAATATGTAAATAGACATTTCTCAAAAGAAGACATACAAATGGCTAGCAGGTATATATGAAAAAAAAAAGCTCTACATTACTAAGCATAAGAGAAATGCAAATCAAATCCAAAATGAGAATTCAACTTACCCCAGTTAGAATGGCTATTAATAAAAATGCCAAAAACCCTATGCTGATAAAAGTGAACTCTTATATATTGTTAGTGGAAATCTAAATTAGTACAGCCACTATGGAAAACACCATTGAGTTTTTTTAATAACTAAAAAATAGAACTACTGCATCATCCATCAGTCCAACTATTAGGTATTTATCCCAAGGAAAAGAAGTCAGTATATCAAAGAGATCTATTCACTCACATAATTATTGCAGCAGTATTCACAATAGCTAAAATATGGAATCAACCTAAGTGTCTATCAATAGACAAATTGAATAGGAATGTGTAATGTATATATATACAATGAAATAGTACTTTGTCTTAAAAAATAAAATTCTGTTGTTGCAGCAACATGGATGAAACTGGAGGTCTGTACGTTCAGTGAAATAAACCAGGCATGGAGATACATACATCCCATGTTCTTGTTCATATGTGGGAGCTATAAAAGATCATAACATGAAGATGGAAAGTAGAATCATACTGTGTGTGAGACAAGGGGTAAAGAGAGGTTGGTCTATGTGTTCAATCACATTTAGATAGAATAAGTTATAATGTTCAACAGCAGAGTGGGGAGACTATAGTCAAAAATAATATTTATATATTTTAAAACAGCTATAAGAGAGGAATTGAAGGGTTTCCAAAATATAGAAATAATACATAACTGAGGTGATGGATACTCCAAATTCCCCGAATTGATCATTGCACATTGAATTCATGTAACAAAACATCACATGTACACTATAAATGTGTATTTTTATTATGTGTTAATAAAATAACAATGACTAAAAACTTCCCTAATTTATTGAAAAACATTAAACTACACACTAAAGGCTCTTCAAATTTCAATTAAGGTAAAAACAAAGAGATCCACATTCAGATACAATATAGGTAAAATGCCCAAAGGTAAATATGGGGAGAAAAATCTTGATAGGAGGAGAAAAAAAGATTCCTTACTTACAGGCAAATTTCACTAAGATTAACAACTGACTTCTTATGAGAAACACTGAAGACCAAAAGGCAGTGGGATTACGTATTCAAAGGGCACAAATGTAATAAATAAAACTCTTAACTAATATTTCTACATTTGTCAAATCTAACATTCAGCAATAGATTTAAAATACAAACATTCCCAGATAGGCAACAAATGAGACAATTTATTATTAGCAATCTTACCTAGCAAGAAATACTAAAGGACATTTATAAAGCTAAAAGCAATGGAAAACAAAGAATAACAAATCCCCATGAAAATACAAAGAACACTGGTAAAGAAAAATATGGAAGCATTAAAAATATTGCAAATACATATTTTTCATAGTTCTTTTATAACTACACTGTATTTTTAGAAAAATTTTAGAATTACAGATAAATTGAGGGGAAGTACAAATAACTTACCTATACATACTCTGCCTTCACAAACACACAGCCTCTATTGAGACAGCCAGGTGGGAAGGGGTCCCCAGAGAAACTCCAACGAGCCTGTGCACTGGGAGGAGTGCACGCTGGGGGTGGAGCCACAGAAGTGTATGCTATATATAGCAGAATGAGCCTGACCCCTCTTTGCCCTTGGGTGGAACCTGTGATTCAATTTGCGACGTGGGAAGTGCACCAGCAGGGACCCTGGCTTTGCAGAGTGTCCCTGTTTATTTTATTTTTGCCCAATAAATTCCATTTGTCTCCTCCTTCAAATTATCTGCAAGCCTAATTTTTCATGGCCATGTGACAAGGACCTTGTTTTTAGCCAAACTAAGAAGAAAGTCCTATAATATCTTTGATGCCCAGGACGTGGGGCTTGAGAAGGGGTGAGTAAAATGCAGACTGAAAACCTCTCGTTGTCGTTTCTAAGCCTTTTCCCCCTTGGAATTCTTTTTTTTTTTTTTTTGAGATGGAGTTTCACTCTTGTTGCCCAGGCTGGAGTGCAATGGCACGGTCTTGGCTCACTGCAACCTCCGCCTCCCAGGTTCAAGTGATTCTCCTGCCTCCGCCTCCCAAGTAACTGGGATTACAGGTGCCTGACACCGTGTTCGGCTAATTTTTGTATTTTTAGTATAGTCAGGGTTTCACCATGTTGTCCATGCTGGTCTCAAACTCCCGACCTCAGGTGATCCACCCATCCCGGCCTCCCAAAGTGCTGGGATTATTCATGAGCCACCACACCCGCCCTCACCCTTGGACTTCTGAGGGTAGGGGATACCATGCCTCCACTCCTGTCACTCTCAGGGATTCAGAAGGTCAGCCTCGGTCTCCATGGCCTTTTCCTTCCTTTTTACGTGTGGCTTCCCTCATCTCCTCACTTCCACTCCCCTCCCATCTGGGGCTGGGGAGCACCACACATCCATAGCTTCTTCCCCTCACCCAGCCAAGGGGTTCAACTTCATTGGACAGTAATTCAGCTTCTCACCCTGGTAGAAGAACCAATTACATAAGAATAAGAGGTTCTTTCCCAGGCATTTTAAAACTGCTTCTTTTCTTCCCTTTCTCCACTCAATAAGCAATTAACTTTTAAGTGAGGTTTTTCCTTTTAGAAGATGTTTTGCTATGCTAGGAACAATAAGGATCCCTGTTAACATTTTCTGTGAAGTTTTAATTGTGAAAAAGGATTTGTGAGGCTGGTGTTAAGCTGTAGCCAATCTGGTGTGCTTTTCATGTCTATATGGTTCATATCAAACTTCGCTGCATGCCTCCAACTTGTTTTACATCATGGGGTTGTGGTCTGTAACCCAGAGGCAAGGCTTTGTTTAGCAATCCTGCCTTAGGGGATGAGCCCTTTCTGATTTGTTATCTGCATGTTTTCCTAGCCCTGTCTCTTAAGGGGTCCCACCAGCAACTGGGTTTTCTTCTGCCTTTCTCTGTAACTATATATGTGTTGTGTATGCTGTCTGTAAAAAGAGCTCTAATTGGCCGGGCGCGGTGGCTCATGCCTGTAATCCCAGCACTTTGGGAAGCCGAGGCGGATGGATCACGAGATCAGGAGATGGAGACCATCCTGGCTAACAGGGTGAAACTCCGTCTCTACTAAAAATACAAAAAATTAGCCGGGCGCGGTGGTGGGCGCCTGTAGTCCCAGCAGCTACTCCGGAGGCTGAGGCAGGAGAATGGCGTGAACCCGGGAGGCGGAGCTTGCAGTGAGCCAAGATCCTGCCATTGCACTCCAGCCTGGGCGACAGAGTGAGACTCAGTCCCCAAAAAAAAAAAAAAAAAAAAAACTCTCATTAATTTGGCCTAAAGGGAGACAAGCACTTGGATCAATTTTTTTTTTTCAAAGGAAAGATAAAAGCTGTGGTACCTTTGAGTTCACATGATTTTAAACTTTGAGAAATAAAAAACAGCCTTAAAGATTGTTGGTAAAAAGCAGATGTCCTCAAAATGTAAATAGGTGAACTAAATTATGCAGGTCACATGCAGGGTTTGCTAAGTGTTTTAAGGTTATGCCTTTTGGGTTTTGAGAACTATCTGACTTGTCAGCTTCACAACTGGTAAGGCCGGGAACATAGGAAACTAACCACACAATTATTCTGGGAGTCAAACCTTGGCTGCACCTAGCACACAATTAAAACAACTTATCAGGTTTTACATTAAAATCACAATTTTATGTAAAAATTGCTAGGAGTTATCATTAAGACATGTAATTGAGACTACTGGAAGTAAGGTTTACATGCAAGGTGTGTAAGAACAATAAAATGTGTTCTTTAATAAGAGGTAATTAGAAAGCCTCAGCATTTTGGGAGGCCAAGGAGGGCAGATCACTTGAGATCAGGAGTTCAAGACAAGCCTGGCCAATATGGTGAAATCCTGTCCCTACTAAAAATACAAAAATTTTAGTAAGTGGCTCGTGCCTGTAGTCCCAGCTACTTAGGAGGCTGGGGCAGGAGAATCGCTTGAACCCAGGAAGCAGAGGCTGCAGTGAGCCAAGATCGTGCCATTGCACTCCAGTCTTGTCACAGCAAGACTCCATTTCAAAAAACAAAATGGAGAAATTCATCCAACTCACAGGTATTTGAGGATATAAACCCATGGCTGGACTCAGCTTTGAAAGATCTTTTCTGAGATTCCTTTTGGAACAGTGTACCATCAAAGTCCACTGAAAAGGCCTATGTAGAAATAACTATTCTTGCTGCACTTTATGCAAATGATCAGTTCAAGTATAAGACTTAAGTCTACTTTGCAAACAGCTCAGTCTTATGATGATTTTGTTCTAACAAAAATGAGGACTGGAGAAAGAGAAATTATGTTTCAAAACTTTTTACACATTTGCCATTAAATTCTAAACCCATTAGTTGCTTTTAAGTTTTTGCCTACATTTTTAGACTAACCCTACTTGTTCCTGTGAACCAACCAGCAATCTCCAGCTGTAGCTCAGAAAGAACAAGTGGGATAGGTAATATAAATATCTGGATCAATCTTCTAGTTCTGAGCAATTATCCTGCAAATCCTACGAGGTGGTAGGAATAAATAGAATGCCCATGATTTGGAGGTTTCCTTTGGGGAAAGTAAGACTAAGGGAGCTAACCAAAGCCAAGCACCATGCACCCAAATCCTAGCAAGCACAGCTACAGCCACTAGTTATCTCGGCATGTCACAAGACATCCTTTTCTCTCTATTGCTGGAGGAGGACTCAGTTTCACAGTTTCACCTTAGCTTTTGGCTTATGATAAGAAGCCCGTGCACGCCCCCGAGACACATTTTTGTCCCAAACTCAATTCCAAGCTTTGGGGAGAAGCCCTAGGAAGGAAACTGGATCTGAGTGATACAGGGACAGATGATAATGGTAGTTAAAAGGCACAGTGCAGGTGACCATGGCTGATTCTTTTTGATTAAGCCAAGCTTCCAATTTCATGGATAGAGGCCATGTTGGTATCCATGGCATAAATGAGGTCTAGGGAATTCAAGGCTACTGCAGGGGTCTTTGGAGATAGGGGGCCAGGGGAGATAGGTCATACATGGGTAGAGGGGATAATTCCCATGCCCTAGGCCCCCCTGCTTCATGGGTGCAAGCTGCTTTGTCACGCATGGTGGTGCCTGCCAAGGTCACAGGGACCAGGGACTGGGGTATACAAGGACAGAAGAGGGAAACAGGATGCTCTTCCTTCTCTTCCTCACATACCCTGGGTATTTACCAGGAAAATAAATAAACCGGAGATGCCTGCTCCCCTTTTTATAGATGGGCAGCCATTCATCTTTGTTCTGTACCCCTTTCTAATGTATCCTGAACCCCTGGGACTCCTTTGAAAAAAATGCCTTCTTTCTTTTTTCTCCTTGATTCTCTCTTCACAGATAAATAATAGTATCTCAGTACTATGGAACACTACCCTCAGATGCATCCTCCAAACTGGAAAGAGTTAATTTCCCAAACCTTAAACTGGTTGACTTAAGATTGGGCCCAGGGGAAGGGAACGCAGAAACCCAACATGCCGGCAAAAGGGTAAAGATTTTGCCAGTCAAGCTTTTGGCCTGTCTCTCTCTGTGCAAACTGGTAAAAGGCCTCAGGATTTTTGAGCTGTCCTTACTCCTCCCTTTGTTTCCTATTGATACATGTTTTCTAATAACCTGGTTTGTCCCTTTTTGCTTTTGGGCCATCAAACTTCAAACGGTCATGCAACTGGAGCCTCTGACAATGGTCCCTTCTGCTCAGAACCCTTAAATAGGCCTCTGAAAGAGAGCTAACTGCCCGTTTCCCCAAAATCACACCCCCCTTCAGCAGGAAGGAGTAGTTAAGATTGGTCTTTGTGCTTATCTTTATCCTTATTTTATGTACTTCTTCATAGGGGGGAATGAGACAGCAGGTGGAAAGGGGTCCCCAGAGAAACTCCTATCAGCCTGCGCACTGGGAGGAGTGCATGCTGGGATGGAGCCACAGCAGTTCGCGCTTTCTGCAGCAGAGAGGAGCCTGGCCCCTCCTCTTCCTTGGTGGAATCTGGGATTCAATCTGTGAGGCAGAAAGTGCACTAGCAGAGACTCTGGCTTTGTGGAGGGTCCCTGTTTCCATTTTATTTTACTTTTGCCCAGTAAGTCCCATTTTTCTCCCCATTCAAATAATCTGCAAGCCTAATTCTTTGTGGCCATGTGACAAGGACCCCGTTTTAGCTGAACTAAGGGGGAAGTCTCACAACTCTACCATTATCAACATTTCAAAGTAGAGTGGTACATTTGTAAAAACTAATGAGTCTACATGGACATTTCATCACCCAACATTTATAGTTCACATTAGGATACACACTTGGTGTTGTAAATTCTATGGGTGTTGATAAAGAATAATATATGTCCACAATTATAGTAACACACCAAATAAGTTTACTGTCCTACAAATTAGCTCTGCTCTGCCCATTCAACCATCCCATTCTTCAATCCTTGGCAACCACTATTCTATTTACAGTCTCTATAGTTTTGCATTTTGTAGAATGACAATGAACTGGCATTTTACAATAGTAGATTTTTTAGTTTAGCTCAATTAACTTAATAATATACATTTAAGGTTCTTCAGTGTTTTTTAAAGTCTTGATAGCCCATTTCTGTTTAGCACTCAATAATATTCCACAGTTTATCTATTCATCTACTAAAGGAAATCTTGCTTTCAAGTTTTAACAATTATACTAAAGCTGCTGTAAACATATATGTGCGGGTGTTAGTGTGTACAAAATGTTTTCAGTTATTTGGATAAACACCAAAAGAACATGAACCATTAGATTGTATTGTAAGAACATGTTTGGTTTTGTAGAAATCAAGGCAATCTTAAGCAAAAAGAACAAAGCTAGAAGCATCATGTTACCTGACCTCAAACTATACTACAAGGCTACAGTAACCAAAACAGCATGGTAGACACACAGACAAATTGAACAGAATAAACACAGGAACAAAAAACCAAACACTGCAAGTTCTCACTCATAAGTGGAAGCTGAACAATGAGAAAACATGGACACAGGGAGGGGAACATCACACACGGGGGCCTGTCGGGTGGTGGAGAGAAAGGGGAGGGAGAGTACTAGGACAAATACCCAATGCATGCAGAACTTAAAACCTAGATGATGGGTTGATAGGTGCAGCAAACCACCATGGTACATGTACACCTATGTAACAAACCTGCACGTTCAGCACATGTATCCCAGAGCTTACAGTAAAATAAAAAAATAAAATAAAAAAGTCAAGAAATAATGTTGCACACCCTTAACTATCTGAGATTTGATAAAGTTGACAAAAACAAGCAAAGGAGAAAGGATCCCCTGTTCAATAAATGGTGCTGGGGTAACTGGCTAGCTATATGCAGAAGATTGAAGCTGGACCACTTCCTGGCACCATATACAGAAATCAACTCAAGATTAATAGAATACTTAATTTAAAACCTAAAATTTGCCTGTAGTCCCAGCATTTTGGGAGGCCAAGGCGGGTGGATCATGAGGTCAGGAGATCGAGGCCATCCTGGCTAACATGGTGAAACCCCATCTCTACTAAAAAATACAAAAAATTAGCCAGGCATTGTGGTGGGTGCTTGTAGTCCCAGCTACTCGGGAGGCTGAGGCAGGAGAATGGCATGAACCCGGGAGGCAGAGCTTGCAGTGAGCTGAGATCGCGCCACTGCACTCCAGCCTGGGTGACAGAGCGAGACTCCGTCAAAAAAAAAAAAAAAAACCTAAAATTATAAAAATACTGAAAGATAACCTAGGAGATACCATTCTAGACATAGAGCCAGGCAAAGATTTTATGATGAAGATGCCAAAAGCAATTGCAACAAAAACAAATATTGACAAATTGGACATAATGAAACTAAAGAGCTTCTGCACAGCAAAAGAAACTACCCCCCTGAGTAAACAGGCAACCTACAGAACTGGAAAAATCACTAGCAAACTATGCATCTGGCAAAGTTCTAATATCCAGAATCTATAAGTAACTTAAATTAACAATCAAAATCTAACAACCCCATCAAAAAAGTGGGCAGAGGACATGAACAGGCACTTTTCAAAAAAAGACATACAAATTGCCAACAAGCATATAAAAATGCTCAACATCATTAATCACTAGAGAAATGCAAATTAAGACACCATCTCAGAACAGTCAGAATAGCTATTATTAAAAAGTCAAAAACTAACAGATGCTGGTGAGGTTGTGGAGAAAAGGGAATGCTTATTTACTGCTGGTAGAGATGTAAATTAACTCAGCCACTGTGGAAAGCAGTTTGTTGATTGGTCCACTAACTCATAGCAGATTTACTATTCGACCCTACAATCCCATTATTGGGCATATACCCAAAGGAAAATAAATAATTCTATCATAAAGACACATGCCATGTATGTTCATCTCATCACTATTCCCAATAGTATAGAAATTGAATCAATGTAAATGTCCATCATCAGTAGACTAGATAAAGACAGTATAGTACATGCAAGTACTACACAGTGATTAAAAAAAAGGAGATCATGCCCTTTGCAGCAACATTAATAGAGCTGGAGGCCATTATCCTAAGTAAACTAACGTGGGAACAGAAAACTAAATACTGCATTTTCTCGCTTACCAGTGGAAGCTAAACCATTAGTACATACGGGGACACAGAGAAGGGGAAAACAAACACCAGGGCCTACCTGAGGGTGGAGGGAGGGACTAGGGTAAAGATCAAAAAACTATCTTATTGGGTGCTATGCTTATTGTCTGAGTGGTGAAATATCTGTAAACCAAACCCCCATGGCACAAAATTTACTTATATAACAAACCTGTTCATGTACCCCTAAATAAGTTATTTATATAAAAAAAGAAAATTTCAGACTGTCTTTCGAAATAGTCACACTATTTTGCATTCCCACCAGAAATGAGTGAAAGTTTTTCTTTCTCCACATTTATGCCACTATTTGGTGTTGTCAATGTTTTGTATATTCAACATTCTAATAGGTGTATAGTGCTATCTGATTGTTGTACTTTTTTCTTTTATAACTACATTATTATAGATGATATTATTTTTGCCAAATGCCCTGTAGACTCTCTAGATTCTATATTCACAATTTTTTGTTCCATTTACCTAACAAAACATTTTATAAAAATTACACAATTGAGAAAATTGTTTTCTTCTGCAAGTAGAAAATGGTATCTAATAAAAAATAAAAATGTATTAAAGTTACTTTTGATTAAGCAGAAATGCTTCGAAAACATCATGTGGTAAATACTGCATCTTTCTGTGTCTATAGTGATTTAGTTTATTTATTTTCAAATTTATTTATATTTAATTTACATTTTCAGTTTAAACTGTATGTATTTATGATATACAATATATTCTGATTATGTTTTGATTACATATACATTTTTGAATGATTAAATCCATCTAATTAACATATGCATTACCTAACATAGTTGTTTTTTAAAGACAATACTTAATATCCACTCTCAGCAATTTAAATGGTGATTAGCAGAGGCTGGGGCGGTTGGAAGGGTGGGGATGAAAACATCTTGGTTACAGGTTACAAAATTACACTTAGATGCAATTACACTTAGATGATGCAGTAACTATTTCTTTTAATCAAAGTGTAATTTTGTATCCTGTAACCAAGATCTTTTTAAACCCACCCTTCCAACCACCCCAGCTTCTGGTAATCAACATTTTACTCTCACTCTCTATTGCTATGTATCTCATTGTTGTTTTAATTTTTAATTATGTGATAACAAAATATATACAGCATATTTTATATGTTTGTTTTTTATTTGTATATCTTTTTTGGTGAAGTGTCTGTCCAGATATTTTGTCTATTTTTAATCAGGTTGTTCGTTTTATTTTGTTGAATTTTAAGATTTTTTTTGTATATTTCAGATGCAGTCATTTATCTTAAATGTTTTGTGCAAATGTATTCCCAAGTCTGTGGCTTATCTTCTTATTTTTGGTACTATCTTAGAGCAGACATTTTTATTTTAATGAAGATTATTTCTTTCATAAATTTTTCTTTTTTGTGCTGGATTTAAAATATCATTACCAAACCCAAAGGCATGGAGATGTTACATGCTAGGAGTTATCTTTTATTGTTTTCCATTTTACATTTAGGTCTATAATCCATTTTGAGTTAATTTGTATACAGAGTGTAACATCTGCATCCAGATTTTTTTTCTTTGCTTTACATATCCAACTGTTCCAATGTCATTTGTTATAAAGGCAGATGTTTATTTAAAAGAAACAAATATTTTCTCCAGTTTATTGTTTTTGATTCTTATCAAAATTACTTGACTGTTTGAGTATACTTCTGCTTATTTTGTTACAATTTTTTACTGGTCTTTTTCTTCACAAATACCACACTGATTGGTGACTGTACTTTTATAATAAATCTTTAGAATACATAGTTTTAGTCCTTCAGGTTTGTCTTTGTTCTTCAAGATTATATTAGCTATTCTGTATATTTGTTCCTTTTTGTATAAACTTAAAAGTTAGTTTGTTGGTATTTATATAATAACTTACTGGAATTCTAATTGAGATTGTTTTTAAATGAATAGATCAACATAGAAAAAATTGATATCTGGACAGTATTGAATCTTTTCTTGTATGCACATTAAATATTTATTTATCTGAGTTTTATAAATTTTTAGAGTTTTTTGTTTGCCTAATAATAATCTTGTACATATAATTTATTTCTATGTACTTAATTTGTCGGTGCATTTGTTAATGGCACTGTATTTTTAATTTTGGATTCTAGTAAATCGTCACTAGTATATAAATAAATAATTGACTTTTGCTTTTAACCTTGTATTCTTCAACCTTCCTGTAATTGCTTGCTAATTCCAGGAACTTCTTTGTTGATTTATTCAGATTTTCTACATAGATAAACCTATTATCTGAGAACAAAAAGTATTTTTTCTTCTCAAACTGAATGCCTTTTATTTGTTCTTGTCTTACTGCATTAGCTAGAATGTCCATTATAATGTTGAAAAGAAGTGAAAAAAGGGACATTTCAGAATTTTTCCTAATCTTAGGTAAGAGAGCGTCTAGTTTCTCCCTATCAAGTTTGAAGTTAACTGTTCATTTGTTTGTTTGTTTTGGCAGGTGTTCTTTATCAAGTTGAGGGATTTTTCCCTCAATTTCTAGTTTTCTGAGAGTTTTAATTATGAAGAAGTGTTGGATTTTGTCAAATAATTTTTTTATTTGCTGATAAAATTATGTATGTTTTGTTGTTTAACCTGTTAATATGAATTACATAAAGTTATTTTTGAATGTTAAAACAACCTTACATACATGGGATAAATATAAACTGATATTTAGTGTATAATTTTTTGTACAATTTTTAAATTATAGTATGCTAACATTGTGATGAGAATTTTTGGCATCTATGTTCATAAGAAATATTAGTTTGTAGCATTTTTTTGGTAATGCTTTAATTTTGGCAGTTTGTGTAGTTCAAGTAATTTCTTTCATTTGGATTATCCAATTTTTGAAAATACATTTGTTCAATATGTTCCTTTACTGTATTTTTCATGTTCATGGGATCTGTAGTAATGTTCCTTATTTAATTTCTGTTATTAGTAAATTGTGTGTGTGTGTTTTCTTATAATGGCAAGAATTTTTTTTTATTTTTTTGGACTTTTGAAAAGACCAGCTTTTAATTTTGTTGATTTTCTGTATTAATTTTCTTTTTTCAATTTTATTGATTTGTGTTCAAATTTTTAATTTTATTTTTGTTCTGATTATTTTGGATTTTAATTTTTCTACTTTTTCTTTTCTTTTATTTTTATTCTTTTTTTATTTTACTTATCCATTTTCCTAAGGTGGAGTCTAGAATTACTGATTTTAAAATCTCTTTTCTTCAATATATGCATTCGATGCTACTTTTTTCTTAAACACTGCTTTTACTCCATCCTATGAATCTTGATAATTGTATTTTCAATTTCATTTTGTTCAAAATACATTTTTAAATTTTTCTGAAATTACTTCTTTGACAATTTTATTTAGAAGTGTGCTGTTTAATCTCAAAGTATTTTGATATTTTAAAACAATATTCCCATTATTAACTTTCAATTTAATTTCATTGTAGTCAGAGAACAGACATTGTAATTTCTAATATTTTAAATTGGTTTCAGTGTATTTTATGGCCAGAGTATAGTGTTCATATATATTTAGTGAGAGACAGGGTTTCTTTCTGTCACTCAGACTGGAGTACAGTGGTGAAGTAATAGTTCACTGCAGATTTGAGCTTTTGGGCTCAAGCAATTTTCTCTCAGCCTCTCAGGTAGCTGGGGCTACAGGAATGTGCCACTGCACCCAGATAATTTATTTTTAGAAGGGGTAGGTAGTATGGTTTGGCTGTGTCCCCATTCAAATCTCATCTTGAATTCCCACATGTTGTGGGAGAGACGTGGTGGGAGGTAATTGAATTATGGGGTCAGGTCTTTCCCATGCTGTTCTCATGATAGTAAATAAGTCTCATGAAATCTGATGATTTTATAAGGCAGAGTTTCACTGCACAAGCTTTCTGCCTGCTGCCATCCATGTAAGACTTGAATTGCTTTTCCTTGCCTTCCACCATGATTGTGAGACTTCTCCAGCCATGTAGAACTGTAAGTCCAATAAACCCCTTTTCCTGTGTAAACTACCCAGTCTTGGGTATGTCTTTATTAGCAGTGTAAAAACAGACTAATACAGTAAATTTGTACCAGGAGTGGGGCACTGCTGAAAAGATACCCAAAAATGTGGAAGAGGCTTTGGAATTGGGTAACAGGCAGAGGCTGGAACAATTTGGAGGTCTCAGAAGAAGACAGGAAAATATGGGGAAGTGTCGAATTTCCTAGAGACTTGTTGAATGGCTTTTCCCAAAATGCTGTTAGCAATATGGACAATAAAGACCAGCCAGGCACGGTGGCTCACACCTGTAATCCCAGCACTTTGGGAGGCTGAGGAGGGAGGATCAGGAGGTCAGGAGTATGAGACGAGCCTGATCAACATGGTGAAACCCCATCTCTACTAAAAATACAGAAATTAGCTGGGCGTGGTGGTGCATGCCTGTAATCCCAGCTACTCCGGAGGCTAAGGCAGAAGAATTGCTTGAACCCGGGAGACAGAGGTTGCAGTGAGCTGAGATCCCACCACTGCACTGCAGCCTGGGAGGCAGAGACTCCATCTCAAAAAAATAAAAATAAAAAATAAAGTCCAGGCTGAGGTGATCTCAGAGGGAAATCAGGAACTTGTTGGGAACTGGAGAAAACGTAATACTTGTTATGTTTTAGCAAAGAGACTGGTGGCATTTTGCCCCTGCCCTAGAATTTGTGGAACTTTGAACTTGATAGAGATGATTTGGAGTAGCTGGTGGAAGTAATTTCTAAGCAGCAAAGCATCCAAGACTTGACTTGGGTGGTGTTTAAAGCATTCAGTTTTACAAGAAAAGCAGAGCATAACAGTTCAGAAAATTTGCAGCCTGAGAATGCAATAGAAAATAAAAATTCCATTTTCTGAGGGGAAATTCAAGCCACCTGCAGAAATTTACATTGTTAATGAAGAGCCTAATGTTAATACCCAAGACAATGGGGAATATGTCTCCAGGGCATATCAGAGGTCTTCATGGCAGCCCCTCCCAACACAGGCCAGGAGGCCTAGGAGGAAAAAGTGGTTTAATGGGCTGGGCCCAGAATTGCAGTGCTGTGTGAAGCCTAGAAACTTAGTGCCCTGCATTCCAGCTGCTCCAGCCATGCCTGAAAGGGGTAAACATAAAGCTCAGCCTGTGGCTTCAGAGGATGCAAGCCTCAAGCCTTGGTAGCTTCCATGTGGTATTGAGCCTGCCAGTGCACAGAAGTCAAGAATCTGGGTTTGTGAACCTCTGCCTAGATTTCAGAGGAGTATGGAAATGCCCAGTTACCCAGGCAGAAGTTTGCTGCAGGGGCAGGGCCCTCATGAAGAACCTCTGCTGGGGCAGCGCAGAAGGCAAATGTGGGGTCAGAGCCCCCACAGAGAATCTCTACTGGGACACCACCTAGTGGAGATGTAAGAAGAGGGCCACCATCCTCTAGACCCTAGAATTGTAGATCCACTGACAGCTTGCACCATGCACCTGGAAAAGCCAGAGACACTCAATGCCAGTCCATGAAAGCAGCCAGGAGGTGAGGCTGTACCCTGCAAAGCCACAGGGATGGAGCTGCCCAAGACCATGGGAATCCACCACTTGCATCAGTGTGACCTGGATGTGAGACATGCAGTCAGAAGAGATCATTTTGATGCTTTAAGATTTAACTCCCCTGCTGGATTACAGACATGCGTAGGGCCTGTAGCCCCTTTGATTTGGCCAATTTCTCCCATTTGAAATGGCTGTATTCACTCAATGCCTGTACCCCAGTGTATCTAGGAAGTAACTAACCTGCTTTTGGTTTTACAGGCTCGTTGGTGGAAGGGCCTTGCCTTGTCTCAGATTAGACTTTGGACTATGGACTTTGAGTTAATGCTGAAATAAGTTAAGACTTTGAGGAACTATTGGGAAGGCATGATTTGGTTTGAAATATGAGGACATGAGATTTGAGAGGGGCCAGATGTGGAATGGTGTGGTTTGGCTGTGTCCCCACTCAAATCTCATTTTGAATTCCCACATGTTGTGGGAGGGATGCGGGGGAAGGTAATTGAATCATGGGGCAGGTATTCCTCATGCTGTTCTCATGATAGTGAATAAGTCTCAGAAGATCTGATGGCTTTATAAGGTGGAGTTTCCCTATACAAGCTCTCTCTTTACCTGCTGCCATCCATGGAAGATGTGATTTGCTCCTCCTTGCCTTCCACCATGATTGTGAGACTTCTCCAGCCATGTGAAATTATAAGTCCCATAAACCTTTTCCTGTATGAATTTCCCCATCTCCTGTATGTCTTTATCAGCAGAGTGAAAATTGACTAATACAGGAGCATTTTCAGTATGTTGCCCAGGCTGGTTTTCAAACTTCTGGCATCAAGAAATCCTCCTGCCTCTGCCTCCCAAAGAGCTAGTATTACAAGATGTGAGCCAATGCTCCCAGCCAGAATGAAATATATTTTGGGGAATATTCTATGCAAGCTGGAGAATAATGTGTATTATGCTGTTGTTATAAAAATTATTTTATAGATGACAATAATATTCATTTGATTGATTATGTTGTTAGGTTTAACTATATCCTTACTAATTTTATATGTGATGGATCTGCCCATTACTGATAGAGATATGTAAAATTCTCAACTATAACAATGGATTTATACATTTCTTTTTGCAATTCTATCAGTTTTTGCCTTATATATGTTGATGCTTTGATGTTAGGTGTGTACACGTTAATAATTGTTATGTCTTTGTTGAGAATTAATCACTTTGTCAATATGTAATTTACCCATCTTTAATAAAATACTGATATAACTACTCCAGTTTTGTTTTTATTAATGTTAGCACGATTTATCTTTATCTGTTCTTCTAATTTTATCTATGTGTCTCTTTATAATTAAAGTTGACTTCTTGTGAATGAAATACAATAGAATATTTTTTATTTAGAAAATTTTAATTTTGTGGGTATATAGTAGTTGTATATATTTATGAAATACATGAGATATTTTTATACAGTCATGCAATGTGCAATTATCACATCATGGAAAATGAGATATTCATTATCTTTGTCATTAATCATTTGTGTTGTTACAAACAAATTACATTTTAATTTATTTATAAATGTATGATTAAGTTACTATTGACTATAGTCACCCTTCTGTACTATCAAATGCTAGATCTTATTATTATTTCTATTTTTTTTTGGTAGCCATTAACCATCCCCTACTCCTGCTACCTGCCCACTACTGTGTCCCACCTCTGGTAAACCATTCTTCTACTCTCCATCATCATAAGTTTAATTGTTTTGATTTTTAGATCACACAAATAGTGAAAATATGCAATGATTGTTTTCTGTGCCTTGTTTATTTTGTTTAACATTCTGGTATTCAGTTCCATCCACATTGTTGCAAGTGACAGAATATCATTTTTTTAATGTATGAATTACTCAGTCTCGTGTATTTCTTCAAGCAGTGTGAGAATGGACTAATACAATCTGGTACACAACAAGGTTGCCCACTTTCACCATTGTTTTTCAACACAGTACTGGAAGTCGTACCTAGAGCTAGAACAATCTGACAAGAAAAAGAAATAAAGTGCATCCAAATTGAAAAAAAAAAAAAGAAATCAGGTACATGTTTGTTTTCATATCTCCTCACCAGGAATGTCCTCCAAGCCTTGGCCTCCAGCCACATCATGCAAGAGCTATCGAGCCAGTAGCAACTCAGCAACTCCCTGGGCAGAACCTTCAGGGACAACTGAAAGTCTCTGCCACTGCCTTTGCAGTAGAACTGCCCTTACCACCCTCAAACTAACTAAGGAGCAAAGAGCCTAAGTGCCTTATCCACACTTCCATCAAGCTGCAGTCAACCCTAGGAGAGGAGGCCAGTCCATTTCCCATGGGTCCCACACACCCCACCCCCCACTTCTTGTCACCAGACAGGGAACTTCTGGCTTGGGCCCACAGCACATACCCTCAATCTTGGTCTTTTTGCACTGAGTGATTGCTGAACTGCATCTCTCTAGGATGGAGCCCCCAGGAGACAAACACTACTAAGATCCCTTTCTCTGCTGCCTCCAAGTTGGGGAAGAAACATAAACACTGAGTTCACCCTAAAACTGCAGTGGGCAGCCCAGGAGTGCCAAGTTGCAATCTGCAGCCAGCACTCATGGGAGAGAGAAACCAACACTTTCAGAGCACAGAAAGGGAACATGGCTGCAACTGTGAGAAAACAGGGCCACACAACAGATCAAGAGCCTAACAACTGACCAATAAGCCTAAGTGCTACCTGCTGGATCACACCCCAAAGCTACAACATGAAAACACCTCACTAACATAACCCCCTCTGAAAACATAGACAAGAAGGCAGATGTAGTTGAAGACTCTTCATAGAGACTCAGCCTTTTGAAAACATCCAGAAAAGAAGTCTATTGACTGTTCTTAATCTACAATGCAGTTATTAATAAAAGAGTGCCCACATTAAGAGATGAGATAAAAAACCATCTCAAGAACTCCAATAACTCAAATGGCCAGATTGTCATATGTCCTTCAAACAACTGCACCAGTTCTCCAACAAGAGTTCTTAATCAGGCTGAATTGACTGGAATGACAGAAATAGAATTCAGAATATGGATAGAACAAAATATCAGCAAGATTCAGGAGGATGGCAAATCCCAAATCAAGGAAAATAAGAATCATAATAAAGGGATGCAGAAGCTGAAAGACAAAGTAGCCAATAAAAAACAACAACAACAAAAAATCTATGAGGTCTGAAAGAGCTGGATAACACAATACCACAATTTCACAATGCAATCACAAGTATTAACAGCAGAATAAACCAAGCTGATGAAAAAAATCTCAGAACTTGAAAACTGGTTCCCTGAAATAAGACAGTAAGACCAAAATATCAAAAGAAAAATAAAAAGGAATGAACAAAACCTCTGAAAAGTACAGGGTTATGTAAAAAGGCTAAATCTATGAATCATTAGCATCCCTAAAAGGGAGGGGGAGAAAGCAAACAACTTGAAAAACATATTTCAGGATATCATTCATGAAACATTGTCAACCTTGCTAGAGAGGCCACCACTCAAAATCAGAAAATACAGAGAACTCCTGAAATATTGTACATAAGAAGATCATCCCAAAGACCATGAGATTTTTAAAGGTTGAAGTGAAAAAAGAAAAAATAATGTTAAAGTAAGTTAAAGAGAAAGGGCAGGTCACCTAGAAAGAAAATCCCATCAGGCGAACAGTGGACCTCTCACCTGAAACCCTATAAGCCAGAAGAGATTGGAGACCTATATTCAATATCCGTAAAGAAAAAAAATCTTCAACCAATAATTTTATATTCAGCCAAACTAAGCTGCCTAAGTGAAGGAATAATAAGATTCTTTTCAGATAAGCAAAAGTTGAGAGAATCCATTACCACCTGACCTGCCTTAAGAGATATCCTGAAAGGAGCAGTAAATATAGAAAGGAAAGACCACTACCAGCTAATACAAGAACACACAAACACACAGGCCAGTGTCACTAT
Source organism: Homo sapiens (assembly GCF_000001405.40). Taxonomy (NCBI): domain Eukaryota; kingdom Metazoa; phylum Chordata; class Mammalia; order Primates; family Hominidae; genus Homo; species Homo sapiens. Next base: position 82,048,480 of record NC_000023.11, read on the forward strand.
AAAGCAACCACAAAAACAAGCCAACATAATAACCAGCTAACAGCAAAATGACAGGATCAATTCAACACTTATCATTACAAACCTTGAATGTAAACAGGGTAAATGCCCCACGTAAAAGGCACAGAATGTCAATCAGGTTAAAAAAGCAAGACCAAATGATATGCTGTTATCAAGAGACCCATCTCACAAATAATGACATTCTGATACAGTTAGGCTTTGTGTCTCCACCCTAACCTCATCTTAAATTGTAATCCCCATAATTCCACACTTGTCAAGGGAGAGACAAGGTGGAGGTAACTGAATCATGGGGATGACTCCCCTATGCTCTTCTCATGATAGTAAGTGAGTTCTTAGGAGATCAGATGGTTTTATAAGCATCTGGCATTTTCCCTGCTGGCACTCATTCTGCCTCCTGTTGCCCTGTGAAGAAGTGCCTTCCACTGTGATTGTAAATTTCCTGAGGCCTCCCTAGCCATGTGGAATTGTGAGTCAGTTAAACCTCTTTTATTTATAAATTACCCAGTCTTAGGCAGTTCTTTATGGCAGTGTGAAAACAAAGTCAAATAGGCTCAGAATAAAGGTATGGAGGAGAATCTCCCAAGGAAATGGAACACACTAAAAAAAGCATAAGTTGCAACCCTAATTTCAGAAAAAAATACATTTCAAAAAAGCAAAGATCAAAAAAGACAAAGAAGGGCATTGCATAATGGTGAAGAGTTCAATTCAACAAGAAATCCTAACAATCCCAAATATATATGCACCCAACACAGGAGCACCCAGATTTATAAAGCAAGCTTTTAGAGACCTACAAAGAGATATAGACTCCCATGCAATAATAGTGAGAGATTTCAACACTGTATTGATGGTATTAGATCATCAAGGCAGAAAATTAACAAAGATATTAAGGACCTAACAATATTGGACCAAATGGATCTAACAGACATTTACAGAGCTGTCTGCCCAAGAAAAAAAAACAGAATATACATTCTTCTAATGAGCACATGGGACATAATCTAAAATTGACCACATAATTGGCCATAAAACAATTCTCAACAAACTTTAAAGAACCAAAATCATACCAAGCACACTCTTGGACCACAACACAATAAAAAGAGAAGTCAAGACTATAAATATCAGTTAAAACCATGCAATAATGTAAAAATTAAACAACATGCTCCTTAATGACTTTTGGGTAAATAAAGAAATAAAGGCAGAAATCAAGTAGTTATTTGAAAATAATGAGAACAAAAATACAACATACCAGAGTCTCTGGGAAACACCTAGGGCAGTGTTATGAGGGAAATTCATAGCATTAAATGCCCACATCTAAAAATTTAAAGATCTCAAATTAACAACCTATCTTCACAACTTAAAAAAAATTAGAGAAGCAAGAACTAATTAACCCCAAAGCTAATGGAAGATGAGATATAACAACAATCAGACCTGAATTGAAAGACAACACGTGAAAAACCATTGAAAAGATAAAACAATCCAGGAGTTGGTTTTATGGAGAATTTGTTAAAATAGATATACCACTAGCTAGACTAATACATAAGAAAAGAGATAAGATCCAAATAAACACAATTAGAAATGATGAAGAAAATGTTAAAGACCCCAAAGAAATAAAAACAAAAAAAAATCAGAGACTATTACAAACAATTCTATGCATACAAACTAGAAGCCCTAGAAGAGAAGGATAATTCCTGGACACATACACCCTCCCACGACTGAGCTAGAATGTCACTGATTCCCTGAAAAGACTGATAATGAGCTCTGAAATTTTACCAGGAATAAATAGTCTACCTACCAAAGAAAGCCTGAGATTTAATGGATTCACAGCTGAATCTACCAGATGTACAAAGAAGACCTGGTACCATTTCTACAGAAACTATTCAAAAAAATTGAGGAGAAGGAACTCTTTCCCAACTCATTCTGTGAGGTCAGCATCATCTTGATACCCAAACCTGAAAGAGACACAACAAAATAAAAACTTCAGGCCAATATCATTGATAAACATTGATGCAAAGATCCTTAAAAAAATACTTGCAAACTGAATCCAGCAGCACATCTAAAAGCTAATTCGCCATGATCAAGTAAGCTTTAACCCTGGGATGCAAGGTTGGTTCAACACATACATATTAATAAATGTGATTCAACACATGAACAGAAGTAAAGACAAAAACCACATGATTATCTCAGTAGACGCAGAAAGGGCTTTCAATAAAAGTAAACAACAGTTTATGTTAAAAACTCTCAATAAACTAGGTGTTGAAGGACTTACCTCAAAATAATAAGAGCCATCTATGAAAAACCCACAGCTAACATTATACTGAATGGACAAGAGTAGTAGAATTCCCTTGAAACCCACATAAAGTACCTCTCTCACAACTTTATTCACGTAGTATTGGAAATCCTAGACAGAGCAATCAGGAAGAAGAAAAAAATAAAGGGCATCCAAGAGAGAGAGAGAGAGAGAGAAAGAAAGAAAGAAAGACAAACTATCTCTGTAAGTGACCTGATTCTGTATCTAGGAAAGCCCATAGTCTTGGACCAAAAGCTCCTCCAGGTTACTAACAGCTTCAGCATAGTTGCAGGATACAAAATTAATGTATAAATGTCACTCTCATTCCTATACACCAACAAGAGTCAAGTCAGAAAGGCAACCTTATTCACAGCTGCCACAAATTGAGTAAAATACCTAGAAATGCAGCTATCCATGGAGGTGAAAGATCTACACAAAGAATTACATAGCACTCCTCAAATAAATCAAAGAAGACACAAACAAATGCATAAACATCTCATGCTCATTAATATAAATAATTAATATTATTAAAATGGCCATACTGCTTTTAATGCCCAAAGCACTTTACAGATTCATTGCTATTCCTATAAAGGTACCAATGACATTCTTCACAGAACTAGAAAAAACTACTTTAAAATATATATGGAACCAAAAAATTACCCTAATACCCAAGAAAAACCTAAGCAAAAAGAACAAATCTGAAAGCATTAAATTACCTGACTTCAAATTCTACTACAAGTGTACGGTAACCAAAACAGCATGGCACTGGTACAAAAACAGGCACATAGATCAGTGGAACAGAATAAAGAACTCAGAAATAAGGCAGTACATCTATGACCATCTGATCTTTGAGAAAGCTGACAAAAATAAGCAACGGAAAAAGACTCCCTATTCAATAAATAGTGCTAGGATAACAGGCTAGCCACATGCAGAAGTCTTAAACTGAACCCTTTCCTTACATCATACACAAAAATCTACTCAAAATGAATTAAGTCTTAAATGTAAACCCTCAAATTATAAAAACCCTGGAAAACAACCTAGGCAATACCTTCCTCGACATATGAATGGGCAAAGATTTTGTGACAAAAACACCAAATCAATCACAACAGAAGCAAAATTGACAAGTGGGATCTAATTAAACCAAAGAGCTTCTGCGCAGCAAAATAAACTATCAACATAGTAAACAGACAACCTACATAATGTGAGAAAATATTTGCAAACTATGCATCTGTCAAAGGTCTAATATTTAACATCGATGAGGAACTTAATTTTACAAGAGGAAAGCAAACAACCTCATTAGAAAGTGGGCAAAGGACATGACCAGACATTTCTCAAAATAAGACTTCCAGACAGACAATAAGCGTATGAGTAAACTCTCAATACCAATGATCATTAGAGAAATGCAAATCAAAACCACAATAAGATACAATCTCACACCAGCCACAATGGCTACTATTAAAAAGTCAAAAAGTAAAAGATGCTGGCAAGATTGCAAAGAAATAAAACATTTATACACTATTGGAGGGGGTATAAATTAGTTCAACCATTGTGGAAAGCAGTACAGTGATTCCTCAAAGAGCTAAAAGCTGAACTACTATCTGACCCAGCAATCTCATTACTGAGAGTGTAGGTATCTCTTCAACATACTGATTTCAAGTTATTGAGATATATACCCAGAAGTGGAATTACTGTATTACATGGTAATTCTATTTTTGGTTTTATAAGAAACCTCCATACAATTCTTCATAATGAACGTGTAATTTACATTCCTTCCAAGATTGTTCAAGCATTCCAATTTCTCCACGTCTTTACCAACACTTGTTATCATTCCATTGTAAATTCTGTGCTACAAAGTAATTATGGAACTATTCAAAAATACTGAGATGCCTCTTCATAAATTTATTTCTAAAAGTTTTGGTGAAAAGTATGTCTTCTGGGCCCTCTTAGTGCAGATAAATAGGTATTAAATGACAAATCTACTCTAACATATTAAACTCCCTAAGGCTTTGGATTTTTCTTCCACATTAAACCAAGGGAGGTTGAGCATTTTCAATTCATTCAGAGTGGGCCATGTTTTGGTCTATGTTTCAGCAATCAATTAAACTGTTAGAGTCCTTTATAACTCCCCAAGCTACAACATCAAATGCTGAATCTCTGCTTCACTAACCCATATTAACAAATTCCGTTTTATTTAATTTTATGTTATTTCCATTATTATCCCACACCATTAGCATCCATTCACACACAGTTTTCCTAGATTTCTGGTTGTATAAATTAGAAAATTCAAGTAGTTCCTCTGGAGTGTAGCATATGTTCTCATGGGTCATACTTTGTGCCTCACCTTTAGGGACCTGCTGGCACTTTAGTATAGTTATTGGTTTAGTATCAAAGAGGGGCTATAGCAGGTGCATCTTCAAGAAAATCAGAATAGTCTTGCATAAAAATTGCCTCGGGGAGCTCATTACCATTAATTCAGGCAATGTAAGATTAATTATCTTATAAGGACTTGGAAAGGCAGATACTACTCTGGGTGTAAAGGACAATACCAATTGGCATTTGCAGATCACTGCTCATGGTGGTGGCAAGATTACTTCTGCTGGGGTTGAAGAGGCTGCTTCCAAGGTGGGTGGGGAGACCTCTTTCATTTGGAAAGAAGTCTCATCAGAATTCAGGAGATAAATATTTTTAGCTTCATCAGAGTTTTTCCATATGCTCTAATCAGAAGTTATATGATCCCACTTTTTCCCACTCAGTGCCATCAATTTTATAGTAGAGCCCTGTGAAAATGGGAGTTCAATTGTTGTTGTAGTTCATCCAAATAAAGGATGAGACTCCACATTTTATTTTGTAAATATTGGTTCTGCTGCTACAAAAGATTAGGTACTCATTCAGGAATACATAGAAGCTCTTAGGTCACTTACGTGGCACTTGAGCTGTAAATCTAAGTCCTTTGGCTCATGCTTTTCTTTTACTACTTTTACCAGTGACATTAGAAAGAACCAACCAATGGCATTATGTTTCTTAGTTTTACAAAAATGCTTGAAACTATTACATACACAGTCAGTTAGCTCCTTTATTTTTATAAGTAGTTTAGGAGTATCTAAAGCAGATATTTTGTGTATCTCCATAAATAGTTCACACCATAGCTATAGATGCTATCTTTACTACTGGAAATAGAAACTTTACTATCTTTAAATCTAATCACATTAGAGCGAAAATTTCAGAAACCTCATAAGAAATTTTAGAACATGTATTCTGAAAATTTTTTTTCTAGAACCACTCTTGGTTTAAAAATCTGTATTACTCTGGGTTCCTTAGAGAAACAGAACCAGTAGGATATACCTATACACACACACACACAAACACACATATATATGTATATATACACACACAAATATATATACATATGGTTTATTGTGAAACATTCGCTTATGAAATTATGAAGACTGAGAAATAGCACATTATTCAACTTTAAGCTTGAGGCTGTGGAAAGCCAGTAGTATAGTGACAGTGAAAGTCTGAAGGCCTGAGGACCAAGGGAGCCAATGGTTCAAGTCCTTGGCTGAGGCCAAAGGTTCAAGAACCAGAAGTGTTGATATCCAAGGGCCGGAGTACATGGATTTCCCAGCTCAAGCAAAGAGAGCAAATTTGCCCTTTCTCTGTCATGTTATTATATCTGAATTTTCAACTAATTGGATATTGCCTACTCAAATTGGTTACGGCAATCTTCGCTATGTTTATAATTCAAATGTTAAGCTTTTCCAGAAGCAACCTAACAGACACACCCAAAAATAATGTTTTCCTAGCTACTGGGGCACTTCCAGTCAAGTTGACATATAAAACCAACCATCACAATGGGTAAAAAATATCTCTTTTTAGTATTAAAAATATTCTAAAATTATTTTGTGATGATAGTTTGAAAACTGTGAATATGCTAAAATCCATTAAGTGTACAATTTAAATATGTATGTTGTACTGTATGTGAAATATAACTTAAAGTCGTTAACAAAAAATAAACCAGACAGAAAAAAAGATAAAAAACACGAGATCAAACAACTGGAAGAAACCAGCTGCCCAGTAGATTTTAAATAAATTATATCAATTATTACATTAAATATACATTTACTGAATATCCAAATTAGATGCATTGATTGTCAAATTAAATAAGAAAAATTTATTCTACTATATTCTATATACAGGAAACGACTTTAAATATAAAGAAGTAAATATGTTAAAAGTGAAAAAAATGAGGAAAGATGTATGATGAAACACTAATTAAGCTGGAATTGGTATGCAATATCATACAAAATAAACTTTAAATGAAACATTGTTAGACACCAAAGTAGATTAGTTTTTCAAAAAGACATAATGATTCTAAATATAAATGATTACTAAACATAGCTGTAATATATGTAGAACAGGAACTGAAGTAATTAAAAAGGTTAAGAAACAAATCCATAATTATAGTTACAGATATCAACACTCCTCTCAAAGTAACTGATAAGGATAAGCATGAAACTGTAGATTAATCAAAACATAATGTAATCTTTAAATATACCCATAATACATGAATAAGTAATTTTTGATCAAAATGCAAATGCTATTAAAGGGTAAAAGGACCGGGTGTGGTGGCTCATGCCTGTAATCCCAGCACTTTGGGAGGCTGAGGCGGGCAAATCATGAGATCAAGAGATTGAGACCATCCTGGCCAACATGGTGAAACCCCGTCTTTACTAAAAATACAAAAATTAACTGGCAGAGGTGGTGCGCGCCTATAGACCCAACTACTCGGGAGGCCCAGGCAGGAGAATCGCTTGAACCTGGGAGGTGGAGGGTGCAGTGAGCTGAGATCGCACCACTGTACTCCAGCCTGATGACAGAGCGAGACTCCGTCTCAATAAATAAATAAATAAATAAATAAATAAATAAATAAAAGGGTTAAAAGTTTCCTTTCATTAAATGGCACTGTAATAATTGTAAAGCCGTATGAAAAGCACACACATAAACACACAACATCCAAAATGTTGAAACTATATCCTTGAAACCTACCGCATGACATAATTAAAAATTAATTCAAAATTGATCATAGTTGTAAGAGTAAGAGTTAATTGTTGCACTAATCTATATTCCACTAACAGTATGCTAGGCTGTCCTTTTCACCACACCTTCACCAACATTTGTTGTATCTTGTCCTTCTGATGATAGACACTTTAATGGGTGTGAGGTAATATCACAGAGGGATTTTAGTTTGCATTTCCCTGATAATTGGTGATATCGAGAATATTTTCATATATCTATTGGCCACTTTTATGTCTCCTTTGGAGAAATATCTATTCATGTCTATTGCCCATTTTAATCATATTATTTGTTTTCTGCTATTGAGTAGTAAGAGTTATTTATAATTTTTGGACATTAATCCCTTATCAGATATGAGGTATGCAAATACTTTGTTTAGTCTTTACGTTGTTTTTCATTTTATTGATTGTTTCCTTTGCTGTGAAACAATCTTTTGCGTTGAAAACAATGAGATTCTGTCATTTGACACAACATGGATGAAACTGAAGGACATTATGCTAAATGAAATAAGAGGCACAGAAGGAAAAGTATTACATGAAATTACTTGCACGTGGAGTCTCTTTAAAAAGACATCAAATATACAGATATAGCAAATAAAACTTAGCAACTAGAAGTGGGGTATTTGGCCAGAGGAAATGAGTACATGTATTAGAGGTCAAAACATACAAAATAGTAGATATGTAGGATGAAGAAGTCTAGAGATATAATGTATAACATGAAGATTATAGTTAATACAATTGTACTGAATTAGAGATTTTTGTTAAATAAGTAAATTTTAGCTGCTCTTGTCAAGAAAAAAGTATGTGCGATAATATATGTGAATTTCCATCACTATAGTAAGCATTTTACCCTATTTGTCCCATAATATTATGATGTAAACCTAAAATATACACAATAAAGTGTATTTAAAATAAATAAAATTTTAAAAAGTAAAAGAAAGTCTAAGATTTCTTATGATGAGCAAAAACATTTAAAATTAATTAAAAATTAGATTTCATTGAAATTAGAAATTTCTGCTCCTGGAAAGACACTGTTGAAAGAGAATTAAAACACAAGTGACATACTGGGAGAACTATGTGCAAATCACATTTTTTTTTTAGACAGTGGTGCAAATATAAACATAATTCAGTGGAAAAAATATATATAAATACACACATATATATACACATATATACATATATACGAGTGTGTGTATATATAATATATATACGAGTGTGTGTATATATGTGTGTGTATATATGTATATATATGTGTGTATATGTGTGTGTGTGTGTGTGTGTGTGTATATATATATATATATATATATAAAATGGTTTGACTGTGTCCTCACCCAAATCTTACCTTGAATTGTAATAATCCCCATATGCCAAGGGCGGGGCCAGGTGGAGATAATTCAATCATGAGAACGGTTACCCCTGTACTGTTCTCATGGTAGTGACTTAATCTGAAAAGTTCTGATGGTTTTATAAATGGGAGTTCCCCTACTGAAATCTCTTGCCTGCCACCATGTAAGACTTGGATTTGGTCCTCATTTGCCTTCCACCATAATTATGAGACCTCCCCAGCCATGTGGAACTGTGAGTTTGTTAAATCTCTTTCCTTTATAAATTACCCAGTCTCGGGTATGGCTTTATTAGCAGCATGTGAACAGAGTAATTATATATATATGTGTGTGTGTGTATATAGATATATATTATATATATGTGTATATATATATATTGTATATATGTGTATATATATATATTATATATAGTGTATATATATAACAATTCCATATATATATATACTCTCTCTCTCTATATATATATATATGTATATATATGTGTGTGTGTGTGTTTGTATGTGTGATAAAACAGGGTAAATAATGTGAATAAGCACTTCTCCCTAGAAGATACAAAAATGCCGATAAGCATGTAAAAATTTGTTAAACACTAGTTTTCATTAGGAAAGTAAAAATAAAAACCCCATCGAGATACCACTGCACATCTAATAGAATGGCTTAGAAAAGTAAGCCTCTTTCCGCCTGGGTGACAGAGTGAGACTTGTCTCACAAAAACAAAACAAAACAAAACAAAAAGTAAGCCTCCTAATACCAAAATGTTGGTAATGATGTAGAATGGACTAACTAACTGGAAAACCAGAACTTTATACATAGAGAGAATATGAAATGAGACAGCAGCTTTGCCAAAAATTTGGCCATTTCTTTTCTTTTTTTTTTTCTTTTGAGTCAGAGTCTGTCACCCAAGCTGGAGTGCAATGACGCGATCTCAGCTCACTGCAACCTCCTCCTCCCAGGTTCAAGTGATTCTCCAACCTCTGCCTCCCGAGTAGCTGGGATTACAGGCACTCGCCATCATGCCCAGTTAATTTTTATATTTTTTTAGAGATGGGGTTTCACCATGTTTGCCAGACTGGTCCCAAACTCCTGACTTCAGATGATCTGCTCGACCTGGCCTCCCAAAGTGCTGGGATTACAGGCGTGAGCCACCGCATCTGGCCCTTTCTAATAAAGTTAAACTCACATGTGTTATGTAATGCAGTAATTACACTCCTAGATATCAATCAAAAAATAAAAACTAAAAATAACTGTCCACACAGGTTTGTACAAAAGTATTCATAAGTTCATTAATAGTAATATCACAAGACTAGAAACATAGGAAATGTCCATCAACAGGTGAATTGAATAAACAGAATATGCTGTATCCATACAAAGCAGTACTATTCAGCAATAAAATAATATGAATTACTGATATATAAAATAACATGGGTGAATCTCAAAAGCAGCAGGCTAAATAAGTCAGATAAAAAAGACTACATAATGTATAAATTCATTTATACCTCAATGATGTATACTTTTATTTGTATGTTTATTTCTATAACAGTTCTAGAAAAGGCTCAATTTTATTGACAAAAAGCATAAGTTGCTTTTGCCTGGGATAAGGAGTGAAAGCATGGATTGAATGTCAGAGAGTAAAAGGGCAACTTTTTGAGATGAAGTAAATACTTTAAAACTTGATTGTGGTTTGTTGTCCAACTTGATGGTTGCACAACAGCACATATTTACTGAAACTCGTATCACTGAATTTTTTTTTTTCAGAGAGAGTCTCATCTTTTGCCCAGGCTGGAGTGCAGTGGCATGATCTCCATTCACTTCAAACTCCGCCTTCCGAGTTCAAGTGATTCTCCTCCCTCAGCCTCCCTAGTAGCTGGGATTACAGGCACTCACCAACATACCTGGCTAATTTTTGTATTTTTAGTAGAGACGGAGTTTCACCATGTTGGCCAGACTGATCTCAAACTCCTGAGCTCAAGTGATTCGCCTGTTTCAGCCCCCCAAAGTTCTGGGATTACAGGCATGAGCCACTGCTCCCAGCCAAACTGAATGTTTTTAATGATGTGATTTTTGTTATCTAAAACCTCAATAGAGTTGTTAAATAAAACCATCAAATAAAAAAATTTAATACATGGTTAAATGACAAGAAACACAGTGACACACATAATGCTAGCATGATAACCATTACTGGTTTTAGGGGTTTTCTCGGCAAGATGGCTGACTAGATGCAACCAGGAGGAACACCTGCCACCAAGGAACCAGGACATCAGAAAGACTTGTGCACTCCTAGAATATCTTCGGAGAGAAGGCAATGAGAGTGGACAGAGGAAAGGCACAGATACTGAGCTGAAGAAGGAGGAGACTGGGAACTTTGAAAGGGCTACCTGTACACTGAGACTTGTTTCTGGCCCACAACAACTACTGGGGCAGGGGTGAGTAAAGCAGGCAAGGAGAAACCCACTCTTGCCACAGACCTCCGGAATCCCAACATGAGCAGACCACATGACCACCACAGACACTTGAGTTGGCAGGGAGAGGTGCTTAGAGAAATAATAGGGTCAGAACTCCAGCCATTGCAAACCCCAGAGGTTTTGGTGCAGAAGTGCCTGTAGTAAAGGCCAGTCAAAAATGCCAATCTCTGTATGTTCAACTTGCTTCCATAGGAGATTTTAGCCCCAGGGGAAATGTTGAACCTGGACACTGGAGGCTGTCTTTCCCATGAGACAGAGCTGGTCTGACCTCAGCACCTTTTGGTCTGCTGGCCTTTCCTGTGACCCAAGCCTGAACATGACTTGGGTAGCAAGAGGGTTACCTCCTACGGGCCTACATCATAGCTCCTGCAATGGCAGATGACACCTGACTACAGAGAATTCTAGCAGAGTGACCCTTGCAGACACACAACAGCCTACCTGCACCCTCCCTACACTACAGCCTTTCCAGTGCCACTTTGCCTGCATGCACTTACACACGGCCACCTCCCATGTCACATTGTTGATGTGTGTGTGTGCACTAGCGACTCTTGCCTCCCATTACTCACCAAGTCCATGTATGTGTGTACCCTGCTGTGTCACTGCTGCTGGCATGAGTGCACAATGCGTCCCTTTTCCCTACTGCCCCACCACTGCCATTGGAACACTGGTGGGCACAAAGCCCAACAGCACCCCGCCCCTGTGGTAACACTTCCACTGGCATGAAACCAGGCACCTAGGCATGAAGAACAGTGAACACGTCCCTGCCCTGAATGGCCCCTGCTGCCTGTGTGAATGTGCACGAGGGTGCACACATTCCTGCCACCACCAGCGACCCACACCCAGGCTAATACCACCACCAGCACAAACAGATGCACAGACACTTGCAGGGGTCCCCACCCTCTCTTGCCATGCTGCCAAGACTACTGCTGTGAACACCCACATGGAGGGCGACACCCACTAGCACTCCACCACAGGTGATGAGCATTTACTATGCCATGCTGCTGCTGCTTCTCTTCTTTCTCTTCTTCTTCTTCTTCTTCTTCTTCTTCTTCTTCTTCTTCTTCTTCTTCTTCTTCTTCTTCTTCTTCTTCTGCTGCTGCTGCTGCTGCTGCTGCTGCTGCTGCTGTCTGGCATGTGCAAACAAGAACAGATGCCACTGCCACTGCCCTGTGAAGCACTTTGGCTAGCACCACACTTCAGAATGTCGTGACCAGCAGTGAGAGAGCATCTTGGTCCCCACAGCGCAGCAGGTTCGTAACCTTGAGGAGCCAGAGAACAAACCTGCAGCCCAGTATCAGTCTCCAAGAATTAGAGCACATTATCCACAAGTCCTGATCTGAACCTTGTCCCCTAAAATCTTCCAGAAACACAGCCAATTTACTGGACCCACCTTATATTACCATCAAATCTCCAAGGTCATCAAATAGTATAAAACAAAACAAAAAAATCCGAAGGGCAGCAACTTCAAAGATTGAAAGAACATCAGCCCACAAAGATTAGAAAAAACCAGTGCAAGAACTCTGATAACTCAAGAAGCCAGAGTGCCCTTTTTCCTCCAAACAACTGCACTAGTTTCCCAGCAATGGTTCTTAACCAAGCTGAGATGGCTGAAATGACAGAAATAGAATGCAGAATACAGGTAAGAATGAAGATCATAGAGATTCAAGAGAATGTTGAAACCCAATCCAAGGAAGCTAAGAATTACAATAAAGTAACACAGGAGCTGACAGAGAAAATAGCCAGTATAGAAAAGACAAAATCAACCTGATAGAGCTGAAAAACACACAACAATAATTTCATAATGTAATCACAAATTTTAACAGCATAATAGACAAAGCTGAGTAAAGAATCTCAGAGTTTGCAGGCTGGCTTTCTGAAATAAGACATTCAGACAAGAATAAACAAAATATAAAAAGAAATTAACAAAACCTCTGAGAAATATGGAATAATGTAAGGAGAATAAATCTACAACATATTGGTGTTTTTGAAAGACATGGGCAGAATGGAAGCAACTTGGAAAATATATTTCAGGACAGCATCCATGATAACTTTCTCAACCGAGCTAGAGAGGCCAACATTCAAACTCAGGAAATGCAGAGAACTTCTACAAAATACTTACCAAAAAGATTATACCCAACACACAAATTCATCAGAATCTCCAAGGTTGAAATGAGAAAAAAAAAAAAACTGATAAAGGCAGCTAGAGAGAAAGGACAGGCAACATACAAAGAGAAGCCCATTAAACTAACGGCATACCTCTGAGCAAAAACTCTAAAAGCCAGAAGACATAAGGGGGCTATATTTAATATTCTTAAATAAAATAAATTGCAAGGAAGAATTAAATATCCAGGCAAACTAAGCTTCATAAGTGAAGGAGAAATAAGTTCCCCTTTAGAGAAGCAAATGCTGAGCAAATTCATTACCACCAGGCCTGCCTTAGCAGAGGTCCTGAAAAAGGCACGAATTATGGAAAAGAAAGACTATAACCAGCCACTACAAAAACACACTTAAGTACACAGATCAGTAACATTGTAAAGGAACCACACAAACAAGTCTGCATAATAACAAACTAACAGCATGATGACAGGATCAAATCCATACATATCAATACTAATATGAATATCAAAAGGATAAATGACCCAATTAAAAGGGAGTGACAAGCTGGATACAAAAGTAAGATCCAGTGGAATCGTGTCTTCAAGAGACCCATCTCACATGCAATGACATCCATATGTTCAAAATAAAGGCATGTCAAAAAGTCTACAAAGAAAATGGAAAACAGAAAAAAGCAAGGTTTGCAATACTAATTATACAAACAAAACAGACTTTACACCAGCAAAGATTAAAAAAAAAAAGACAAAGCATGGCATTACATAATGGTAAAGGGTTCAATTCAACAAGAAGACCTAAATATACTAAATATATATTCACCCAACACAGGAGCACCCAGATTCATAAAGCAAGTTCTTAGAGTTTTTAAAATAGACTCAGACTCCCAACAGTAATGGTGGGAGACTTCAACACCTCATTGATAGTATTAGACAGATCATTGAGAAAGAAAATTAACAAAGATATTTAGGACTGGAACTCAACACTGAAGAAATGGACCAATAGACATCTACAGAACTGTCTTCCCCAAAACAACATAATATGCATTCTTCTCATGATGACACAGTATATAGTCTAAAATCAACCACACAATTGTAATAAAATACTCCTCAGCAATTATAAAAGAAATGTAATCATGCCAACCATTCTCTCAGACCATAGCACAATAAAAATAGAAATCAAGACTAAGAAAATTGCTCAATATCATACAATTACATGGAAATTAAACAACATGCTCCTGAATGACTGTTGGGTAAATAATGAAATTAAGGCAGAAATCAAGAAATTCTTTGAAACTAATGAGAGAAAAGCTCCAAAAAAACAGAATATCTGAGACATAGCCAAGGCAGTGTTACAATAAAAATTTATAGCACTAGATACACACATCAAAATGTCAGAAAGATCTCAAATTATCAACCTAATGTAACAACAAAAAATCTAGAGAAGAAGAGCAAAACCAACTCCAAAGCTAGCAGACGAAAAGAAATAACCAAAATCAGAGAGAACTGAAGACTGAGACGAAAAAGTCCTTCAGAAGATTGATGAATCAAGAAGTTGTTTTTTGAAAAAATTAAAAACATAGATAGAACATTAACTAGACTAATAAAGAAGAAAATAAAGAAGATTCAATGAAACCCAATTAGAAATAACAAATGGGATGTTACTACTGACCCCACAGAAATACAAATAACAATGAGACTACTATGAACACCTCAGTGCACATGGACTAGAAGAGCTAGAATAAATGAATAAACTCCTGAACACATAAACCCTCCCAAGACTGAACCAGGAAGAAATTGGATCCCTGAATAAACCAATAAGGAACTCCAAAATTCAATCAGTAATATGTAGCTTACCAAACAAATAGCCTAGGAGTAGAAAGAATCACAGATGATTTCTACCAGACGCACAAAGAAGATCTATTACCATTTCTACTGAAACTATTTCAAAAATTTGAGAAGGGACTCCTCCCCAACTTATTCTATGAGGGCAGCAACACCCTGATACCAAAATATGGCAGAGACAAAAAATAAAATAAAAATTTAGGCTAAAGTTCCATGAAGAACATCTATGCAAATTTTCTCAATGGAATACTAGCACACGAAATCCAGCAGCACATCAAAAAACTAATCTACAACAATCAAGTAGGATTTATCCCTAGGATGTAAGATTGGCTCAATGTATGCAAATTAATAAATGTGATCCATCACATAAACATAACTAAAGACAAAAATCACAGGATTTTCTCAAAGATGTAGAAAAAACTTTGGATAAAATTAAACATCCCTTCATGTTAAAGACTCTCAATAAACTAGGTATTGAAGGAACATACCTTACAATAACAAGAGCCATTTATGACAAACCCACAGCCAACATCATACTGAAGGTTAAAAGCTGAATGCATTCCCTTTCAAAACTGGCACAAGACAAGGATGCCCTCTGTCACCATTCCTATTCAAAATAATATTGGAAGTCATGGCCAGAGCAATCAGGCAAGAGAAAGAACTAAAGGGTATCCCAAAGGAAGAGAGAAAATCAAACTATCTTTGTTTGCAAATGACATGATTCTACCTCTATAAAACCCCATAGTCTCAGTCTAAACGTTCTTTAATTGATAAGCAAATTCAGCAAAGTTTCAGAATACAAAATCAACATCTAAATCACTAGCATTCCTATACAACAGCAAGAGCCAATCTCTTAGCCAAATTAGGAATGCAATCCAATTCACAATTGCCACAAAAAGAATGAAATACATAGTAATACAGCTAATCAGGGAGGTGAAAGATCTCCACAATGATAATTACAAAACACTGCTTAAAGAAATGGGAGATGACAAAACAAATGGAAAAACATTCCATACTCATGGAAAAGAAAATAATTAATATCATTAAAATGGTCATACTGCCCAAAGCAATTTACAAATTCAATGCTATTTCTATTAAACTACCATTGAGATATTTCACAGAACTAGACAAACCAATTTTAAAATTCACATGGAACCAAAAAAGAGTCCAAATAGCCAAGGCATTTCTAAGCAAATGGATCAAAGCTTGAGACAACATGCTGCCTGACTTAAAACTACACTACAAGGCTACAGTAACCAAAACAGAATGGTACTGGCACAAAAACAGACACATAGACCAATGGAACAAAATAGAGAGCCTAAAAATAAGGCCACACACTTGCAACAACCTGATCTCTGATAAAGCTGACAAAAACAAACAATGGGGATAAAGCTCCCTATTTAGTGAATGGTACTGGGATAACTAGCTAGCCACGTGCTGAAGATTAAAACTGGGCCCCTTTCTTACACCATATACAAAACTCAACTCAAAGTGGATAAAGACTTAAATGTAAATCTCAAAACTATAAAAACACTGGAAGATAACCTAGGCAATATCATTCTGGACATAGGAACTGGCAAAAATTTCATGATGTAGACACCAAAAGCAATTGCAACAAAAGGAAAAATGGACAAATGCAATTTATTTGAACTAAAGAGGTTCTCTGCAAAACAAAAGAAATGATCAGAAGAGTAAACAGACAACCTATAGAATGGGAGAAAATACATGTAAACTATGCATCTGAGGAAGGTCTAATATGTAGCCTCTATAGGGAAGTTAAATAAATTTCAAAAAAAAACATTAAAAATTGGGCAAGGGAAATGAACAGGCACATTTCAAAAGAAGACATACATGTGGCCAAGGAGCATATAAAAAAAGCTCAAAATCATGAAGCAGTAGATAAATGCAAATCAAAACCATGGTAAGATACCACCTCCCACCACTCAAAATGGGTATTGTTACAAAGTCACAAAGTAACAGATGCTAGTAACCTTGTGGAGATAAGGTAACACTTATGTACTGCTGGTGGAGTGCAAATTAGTTCAACCCTCACGGAAAGCAACGTGGCAGTTCCTCAAAGAGCTAAATAGAGAACTACCATTCAATCCAGCAATTTCTTTCCTGGGTATATACCCAAAGGAATATAAATTGTTCTATCATAAAGACATATGCATGTGTACATTCATTGCAGCACTAGTCACAATAGTGAAGACATGGAATTAGCCTAAATGTCCATCAGTGGTAAACTGGATAAAGAAAATGTGCTACATATACACCATGGAATATGCAGCTATAAAAAAGCACAAGATCATATCCTTTGCAAGAAGATGGATATTGCTGGAGGAGCTTATCCTTAGAAAACTAATGCAGGAACAGAAAACCAAATAATGTATGTTCTCACTTTAAGTGGTTGCTAAATCACGATAATACATGAACAGAAAGGAGAGCAAGAGACACTGGAACCTGCCTGAGTATGCAGAGTGGGAGGAAGAAGAGCAACAGAAAAAATAACTACTGGGTACTAGACTTAGTACCTGGGTAATGAAATAATCTGTACAACAAAACCCCGTGACACGAGCTTACCTACATGACAAACCTGCACATGTATCACTGAACCTAAAATACATTTTTTTTAAAAAAAGAACCATTACTAGTTTCAAATCTTGGCTCAGCTACTCATTAGTTTTATACTTTTAGACAATTTTATTAAGACTTTAGTATATCAGTGTGTTAAAACTATAAAATGAGTTAATAAATATATTTCAGCTTAAGAAAACACTTCTATAGGGAAATATGTTTTGGTTACTGTAGCCTTGTAGTGTAGTTTTAAGTCAGGCAGCATGTTGTCTCAAGCTTTGCACCATTTGTTTAGAATTGCCTTGGCTATTTGGACTCTTTTTTGGTTCCATATGAATTTTAAAATTGGTTTGTCTAGTTCTGTGAAATATCTCAAAGGTAGTGTAATATTTGTGATTTGGGGCTAGGCAAATATTTCTTCAAACCTCAAAAACAAAATATAAAATTAAAAATTGAAAAATTAAATTTTATCACAATTTTAAATTTCTGCTTTTTGAAAAAGCAATATTAAGGTAATGGAAAGGCCACACAGCAGAAAAAAAAGTGTCAAAACATATACCTGATAAATAACTTGTATCCAGAATATATAAATACCTCTTACATTCAATGCAAAGTGAAAAAAAACAATTTTTTAAATGAGCCAAAGATATATTTATGGCAAATAAGCAAATCAAAATGTGTTCAACATCATTATTCATTAGGAAAATACAATTAAAACCATAATGAAACATTGCATTATGCAAGCTAGAATGGCCAAAATAAAACAACCACCACCACCACAACAACACACTGAAAATATTAAATGTTAGGGAGGATGTGGAGAAACTGACACCCTTATATATTGTTTTCAGGAAATAAAGCTGCTTTGGAAATATTTTGGCAGTTTCTTATGACATAAAATATACACTGATTGTGTTAGGGTTCTCTAGAGGGACAGAACAAATAAGATAGATGTATATATAAAGAGGAGTTTATTAAGGAGTATTGACTCACACGATCACAAGGTGAAGTCTCACAAAAGGCCATCTGCAAGCTGAGGAGCAAGGAAGCCAGTTCGAATCCCAAAACCTCAAAAGTAAGGAAGCTGACAGTGCAGCCTTCAATCTGCGGCCAAAGGACCCAGAGCCCCTGGTTTAAGTCACTGGCTTAAACCACTGGTTTAAGTCCAAGAGTCCAAAAGCTGAAGAATTCAGAGTGTGATATTCAAGGGCAGGAAGCATCCAGCAAGAGAGAAAGATGAAGGCTGGAAGACTGAGCAAGTGTGCTCATTCCGCTTTCATCTATCTCCTTTATTCTAGCCTTGCTGGCAGCTGATTAGATGGTGCCCACCCAGATTGAGCATGGGTCTGCCTCTCCTAGTCCACTGACTCAAATGTTAATCTCCTTTGGTAACACCCTCACAGACACGACTAGCAAGAATACTTTGCATCTTTCAATCCAATCAAGTTGACACTCAATATTAACCATCACACAGATCATGTGACCCAACAATCTCATCACTGGGTATTTATCTAAAATAAGTTTTTATCTATGGGGAAAAGTTTACACAAGGATAAAAGTCTGGTGGGAGGTGGAAGGTGTGTGTTCAGTGAAGATGTTAAGATACCAAAAATTAAAATTTCCCTGGCTGAGGCAATGCAATCAGATACTCATATTACAGTGTGAATCAGATTATCTTATGAGTGTTCTTTATGGGAGGTAGTCATTGTAATGAATAAACTGTGAAAAGATGTCAGGTAGACATGTATATGAATTCTGACTATGACAGTTACTGACTGTATGAATTAATGACCTTTCGTGTTTCTAAATTTGTAAAATAAAGAAAATAATGGCACTAATTTTTAAGACTGTTCTGAAGATTACATAAATGGAAACTACCAGTAGTTAATATTTATGGAGTACTTGCTATATGACAGGCCCTCTGGCAGCAATTTTCATGTATATTTTTATAAATACTTCACAAAAACTGTAAGAGATAAGAACTCTACTTTGAACATTAATGGAATCAGAAAAGTGAAAAATGTTAAATTCAGTCTACAGGTACTTTTGGAAGGGTCTACACTATGCAGTGAGAAAATGGCCAGAACACTTCGCTCATCTTCCTTCACTGATAGACACTGTAGCTTTTGCTCATTCTGGTGGCATATTTTTCAATGACTTTATTCTTTTTATCTGTGCTGATTGAATAGTGATGATGTGGATATGGAGCATGTTATACACTGTTGTGCTAAAAGAGATATATTAACACTATGACTAGTTGCCCAATTGGGCCCCTGAATATCAGCAGCTTTGTGGGTTATGTCCTCTAATGCCATTATTAATATTAAAACAACTACAGCTACTATTATCAGTAACAGAATTAACATTTTTAGTGTAATTAAGATATGCCAAATATAATTACAGAAGTTACCTGTAGCATCTCATTTACCCTGTAAGGCAGCACTTTTCAGTTGAGGAAATGAAAGTTTAGCATAGTAGGTAATTTGCCCAGAGTCTCACAGGATTAAGTTGTCAAGGGATATTAATACCCAAGATTATTATTTATTAAGTGATTGATTCATTTAATAAGTATTACAGAACATTTAGAATTTTCAGGGCACTTCGGATCCAATAGTGAGACATTCAAAGACCTTGTTCTTATAAAATCATTTAGTCTTTTAACCATTGGGCTATGGTGCCTCCCAAGAGCCTTGGGTTTAATTTTCAGCTTTTATATTTTTACTTAGAGGTGACATATTAATCAAACTCAGATGGAATAGACTACAAAAACAGAGTACTGATTTATTTACTTTAGAAGACATAAATTGGTAATGTAACTAGTATTGGTTTTATCTGCACACTTTTCTATGGATAAATTTACTTGGGAGAACAAATTAGAACAAAAATTTGATGAGCCTGGAATAAAAACAAAGAGGTTGGCTTAAAGGAGATTTTATTAAATAATGCCACTTGGATTACTGTTTACTGTGGAGATATTTCCTTCTGGGTCTCTGATAATGAAGATATACTATAGAAATCTGTCCTTTTGCTTCACTTTGTAAAATGTTTTTATTTATCTAGCTTTTAAGTTCAGGGGGACAAGTGCAGACTTGTTACATAGGTAAACTTTTGTCACGGGGGTTTGTTGTACAGATTATTTCATCACTCAGGTATTAAGCCTAGTACCTATTAGTTATTTTTCCTGATGCTTTCCCTCCTCCACCCTCCCCCCTCCAATAGGCCCCAATGTGTGTTGTTTCCCTTTATGTGTGCATGTGTTCTCATCATTTTGCTCCTACTTTTAAATGAGAACATGTAGTGTTTGGTTTTCTGTTCCTGCGTTTGCTTAGAATAATGGCCTATGGCTCCATCCATGTCCATGCAAAGGACATGATCTCTTTCTTTTTACAGCTGCATAGTATTCCATGGTGTATATGTACCATATTCTTCCTTGTTGAGTCTATCACTGATGGGCATTTAGGTTAATTCCATGGCTTTGCTATGGTGAATTGCTCTGCAATGAACAAACATGTTCATGTGTCTTCATAATGAAATGATTTATATTCCTTTGGTTTATACTCAGTAATGGGATTATGGAGTCAAATGGTGTTTCTGTCTTTAGGTCTTTGAGGAATCACCACACTGTCTTCCACAATGGTTGATCTAATTTACATTCTCACCAACAGTGTGTAAGTGTTCCTTTTTCCCACAACCTTGCCAGCATCTGTTATTTTTTGACTTTTTAGTAATAGCCATTCTGAATGGTGCGAGATGGTTTCTCATTGTGGTTTTGATTTGTATTTCTGTAATGACCATTTATTGAATAGTGATTCCTTTTCCCATTGCTTGCTTTTTGCAAGGTTTGTTGAAGATCAGATAGTTGTAGGTGTGTGGTCTTATTTCTGGGCTCTATTCTGTTCCACTGGTCTACAGTCAAGCCAGGAGGCAAACCAGAAAGGAACTTCCATTCACAGTTGCCACAAAAAGCATTAAATACACAGGAATACAGCTAACTAGCTAACTGTTCTTGCATTTATGCAAGTAACTACCTTAGACTGGGTGATATTTTTATGGTAATAACATTATGATCTTTAATGGACATTTTATGATTTTACTTACATACTTTTCCATAGTTTATATTGCTTTGGTATGAAAAAATCCATATTCATAATGATCATAAGCCTGGGAAGCCCATATTTGCATAAAACATGGTCCAGAAAAAGAAATTTATATTCAGGGTATCAAGAACTGTAAATAAAAACAATCACAGAGCTGTGTCAAATCTCACTAGTCGTATATCTACATATGCAAAAATATTTTTGTGCATTTTAGGGATTCCAGCTTCTTCTGAGTATGATAGTTACATACTGTACCCATTCTCACACTTCCTACTCACAAATCCACCCTCAACATTCTTGCTCGTGTCTCTGCAATTTTGTTGAAATTGCTCTTATTTTAGCTTCCAAAGTCCTCTTCTTGCGGATTCAGAAGGGCATTTAATTTTTCTGCAACCTTTTACATGAAGTGTCATCTTGAATCCTTTTGTTTCTCTGGCTTCCTGACAATATATTCTCTACGTATTATTTTGGTGTGCCTCCAACCCCTTTGGTCATTCTTTCTGAGTCCCCCTCAAGGTGACTTTTTTTTCTGCCAAATTTCATAATTTTAGACATTAAAGCTCTTTTTCTTTAGCCTTCTCTTTCATCCATACACATCTTCCCTAAATGAGCTTCATCTTCTCCCATGACATCATTCCACCCACATGCTGATGGTTCCCAAAAGCTGGTGTCTCTCCTGAGCTCACACTTAGATGTTTGTAGTAAGTATCTGAGAGATTTTCTGATGAGGACTCATTTTCTAGGAATGACCCTCCTTTTCCATCTGCATGTTGAAGTTGTGCTATTGTATGACTCTTCTTTGTACCACAGTTAATCTGTCCAGACATGGGCACTTGATTCATATTGGCACTTGGCCAATAAATTTGTGTCCTAAGGTTTTTGGGTTTGAGACTGAGATTCAGGCCACCCTTTCTCTGAAATCCTGGACTAGAATCAATGTGGTTGCCCAGGTCAAATGTCTATCAGTGTTATGAAAGAAACCCATCTATTCTGATTGGTGGTTAAATACTTTAAATGTCACCTCTAATTGTAGGGTACATAATCGGGGAATTGTAGGCAGCCATGTTTACTTTCATGTATACCATGTAAGCAGATAGGACCAGAGACTGGATAATTTATAAAGAAAAGAGGTTTATTTGGCTGATGGTTCCACAGGCTTTATAGGAAGCTGGGCAGGGGAGGCCTCAGAAAACCTGCAATTATGGCAGAAGGAGAAGAGAAAGGAGGCATGTCTTACATGGCTGAAGCAGGAGGAAGAGAGCCAAGGGAGAAGTGCTACATGCTTGTAAACAAGCAGATCTCATGAGCACTCACTCGCTATCATGAGAACAGCAAGGGGGAAAGTACACCCCCATGATCCAATCACCCCCCTCCAGGCCCCTTCTTCAACACTGGGGATTAAAATTTGACATGAAGTTTGGGTGGGGACACAAATCCAAACCATATCAGGAGGTGAAAGATTTCTACAAGGAGAACTACAAACCACTGCTCAAAGAAATCAGAGATAACACAAATAAACAAACATTCTATACTCATAAATAGAAAGAAAAAGTATCATTAAAATGGCCATACTGCCCAAAGCAATTTATAGATTTAACGCTATTCCTATTAAATTACCATTAAAATTCTTCAGAGATCTAGAGAAAAAACTATTTAAAATTTTATATGGAACCAAAAAAAAAGCCTGAATAGCCAAGGGACTCCTAAGCAAAAAGAACAAAGCTGGAGACATCAAGCTACCTCACTTCAAACTATACTACAAGTTTATAGTAACTAAGACGGCATGATACTGGTTCTCTTTTTTTCTAATCTCTAGGTAGATTATCCTTCTGTTTACAAGCCATTATCTCATGCAGTCAGGTTATAATTGATTAGAATATAGCATTCTTTCCAGACATCCTTTGTGGAGGAGGAAGGGAAAATAATTTTTTATGTTATTTTTATGAGAACCACATTTTCTGACCTTTCACTAAAATTACGAGTGTGTCCCACTTTGGAAACTTTTTCCTCTAAATACTGACCACACAGGTCTCTAATACAAAATAGAGATATTTCAGGAGAACCTGTAACCAGAAACGAGATTCAAAGGAAGGTGGGGATGTAGGAACTGTGTTTAACATAAGTAATTGATAATCACAGCAACTTTAAAAAATACCGTAAAAAAAGAAATTTCAGGATTAGTTATCTTGGCAGTGGATACATTCTATTTGTGTGAGAAAGGGAGAATTTGACTGCACATGCTGGGCTGCCTGCCCTCCACCCTCCAATGCTTCACCTTCACCTCCCTTTCTCTAATTATTTTGAAAGTTCTGATATATATATATATATATATATATATATATATATATATATATATATATCCTTTAGCTTGTTGAAATTTTCACTTTTTTAAAGTTCAATTTTACAAAGATAATAGAATCAGGTATGCAATTGCAAAACTCAACTTGTGATCCTGGTTTATTTAATATGAAAAAGTTAATGTTGAAAAGGAAAGTGTATATCTTGACCACTGTACAACTGGTGTGAAGGTTTTGTTGTTGTTGTTGTTGTTGTTTTGAGTCAAAGTCTTGCTCTATCGCCCAGGCTGGAGGTGCAGTGACATGATCTCGGTTCACCGCAACCTACGCCGCTCGGGTTCAAGTGATTCTCCTGCCTCAGATTGGATATATCTGATATATATCAGATATATATATATATATATCATATATATATCAGATATATATATATCAGATATATATATATCATATATATATCAGATATATATCTCATATATATATCATCATATATATATCAGATATATATATATCATATATATATCAGATATATATATCTCATATATATATCAGATATATATATCTCATATATATATCAGATATATATATATCAGATATATATATATATCAGATATATATATAAATGAAAAGAGTGAGTCTGGAAAATTATATAGCAAATGCAGAATAATAGTGAAAAGATCTCTACCACTCACAGTTTATACTTACTAATTGAAATCCTACCTATTTATAAATAACTCAAATTTTATGTCCCATGAAAGTTCTCAGAAATTTTTCTCATCAGCTAGAAATTAATTTCTCCCTTTCCTCGCAGTTCAAAGTATATTATTTGATCCTCTGTTCCATCACTTATTACAGTACAGCTTGTTTAAAATTGATTATATATGGTTTTGGCATACCCAGTAGACTGTGAGACCCTGACAACTATGTATAGCTCCCAGTGCTGTTCACACTGCCTAGAAAAAAAAATGCTTTCTATGTAGTGGATACCCAGGACGCCTTTTTTTCTTTTAAACTCCAAAGTGAGGCAGGGCGCGGTGGCTCACGCCTGTAATCTCAGCACTTTGCGAGGCCGAGGAGGGCGGATCACCTGAGGGCAGGAGTTCAAGACTAGCCTGGCCAACATGGTGAAACCCCATCTCTACTAAAAATACAAAAAAATTAGCCAGGTGCAGTGGCGCGCTCCTGTAGTTCCAGCTACTCAAGAAGCTGAGGCAGGAGAATCGCTTGAACCCGAGCGGCGTAGGTTGCGGTGAACCGAGATCATGTCACTGCACCTCCAGCCTGGGCGATAGAGCAAGACTTCGACTCAAAACAACAACAACAACAACAACAACAACAACAACAACAACAACAAAACCTTCACACCAGTTGTACAGTGGTCAAGATATACACTTTCCTTTTCAACATTAACTTTTTCATATTAAATAAACCAGGATCACAAGTTGAGTTTTGCAATTGCATACCTGATTCTATTATCTTTGTACAATTGAATTTTTAAAAAGTGAAAATTTCAACAAGCTAAAGGACTAAGAAAATCATATTGCATACTTTTTGGGTGACCAAATTTTATGCATAGTTTGGTATGCATAATATTTCAATTTTATTAATTTCAGGAATATTGTGACTATAGAAAGACTGTACATAGTTTTAGTAAATAAAATTATAATAAAATATATGTTTTTAAACTGTTTAGCTGAGATAATCAAATACATTACAGCATTTTACAAAAAAATTAGGTTTAATTTCATAGGTCTCATTATTAGAAACAGGGCAAGATTTAAAAAACAAATGTTATACTTCCAAGTCATGAAATACAATATATTTGAAGTAAAAGAACTGAAGTTCAAAAATATATTCTTAAAATTGAGCCACACATATAGGCTCTTAACGATTGATTTGTCAATTTCACTTCTTTAGTAATGCTTGGATTACTTGTAATGCTGACAGAACAAAGACTTATGAAGAGAGGGAGGCCTCAACAATATCAAAACAGAGAATTGAAATACTCCAATATATTATGGATTTTACTCTTATTCTGCACTATTTTATACGAAGATTATATTCACTTTGAATGTGTGTATGACACTGCTTGTTTATTAATAGTAATGCCCCAAAGTGCAAGATCTACTGGGTATAAAATAAGATTTTAGAATAAAACTTCAAAATTATTCAAAAAGAGATGAGTTGTTTGAGTAGATTTACTTTCTGAAAATTATTGATTACTGACATCCAATCATCTAGAGAGGTGATGGAGCATTTGAGAAATTTTTTTAAAGGCACAACCACATATAAACTTTGTCTTCTTCAGGACAAAATATATAAATAAATATGGATTAGAAAATAAATTTTATTTCAGCTCTCTACATGAGGACTTTCACATGGTAATTTCTCAATCAATCAATACTTTTGCGTGGAAATCAGTGATACACAAGTTTTAATCAGGTTTGTATTTAATATTGGCATAGCTTTTCCACTAAAATTTTATGTGCAGCATTCGGAAAAATTATGCTTCTGGTTTTCATTTATCAATCAAAACACACATTTTAAGTCACTCTAAATAAAATCCTAAATGTGAAAGCCCTCCTTCTCCAAAAAATATATACTAGGTTGGAAAAGTCAATTTTGAAAAAAGGGTATGTTTTCTCATTTTTTTAAACAAACTCAGAAGTTTTTTAGCATTGCATAATGTTACTCTTTTGGCAATAGAAGTGGTGATTATCAAAGAAAATAATGTGCATTTGAAAGTTCAGGCTACCTCTTGTGAGGAAGTCTCTTGTAACCCTAGCAATAGCTGGATTTCAAATAAGAAAATACATATACTAACATCTAGTTCAGTTCATGGGACATAGGCACTTAATAACATTTCCACTTTTCTAAATGTTTAGGTGATTTATCGTAGTATAAATAGCACAAAATAAATTGTGCATATTTAAAATATAAAATTAAGTATGTTTGACGTTATATATACATCTGTGAGGCCATTGCCACATTTAAGAAAATGTGTATTGCCATGACCTCGCAAATTTTGGGGGCCACTTTTTAATCTCACCCCCTAACCTTTACTCCCACATCCACTTCTTACCCCTCCCATCCTTAGGCAACCAAAAATCTACTTGCATTTTGTATAAAATTACTACTGCAATCATACATTATTTGCTTTTATGGTCTTGCTTTTTTCACTCAGCTTGAGATTTATACATATTGTTGCATGTAGCTGTAGTTCATTCATTTTTCTTCTTTCTAATGAGTATTCAATAGCATGGGTATAACACTATTTACCCACTCATCTGATTCATTTTTATTTACATAAAAATAAGAAATGTTTATTTTTATTTACTTTTGCTTATTTTATTGTAATGGAAAATGGTAATTGCATATTTTTACAAGGAACAATGCAATGTTATGATGAATGTATACAATGTGGAGTATTAAATCAATCAATTAATGTATTCTAATACTAATTAATGTATTCATCACTAGAAATACTTACCTTTAATAAATGAAATTAATCACGTCTTTAGATGAATGCACACTTACACGTAGACATACAGCTTAGAAGGTATATAAGCACTGGAAAACTTTGTAATTTTGAGTTGGTCTGGTAATATTTTCCCAGCCTTCTCCCTGTACTTGGTTGAAGAAATAAACTCTCTTCTTTTCCAGTTCATCTGCGTCTTGTTATTGGGCCATAATTATAAGAAGCCTGACCATCAGTTTTATACAGGAACAGTTGGGACCACAGACATGAGCCACCATGTTTGGCTAATCTTTTAATTTTTTTGTAGAGATGGGATCTTTCTATGTTTCCCAGGCTGATCTTAAACTCCTGGGCTCAAGTGATCATTCCACCTTGACCTCCCAAAGTGCTGGGATCACAGGCATTAGTCACCGTGCATGGACGCTGTATTTATTTTTAAAAAAACATTCATAAAGTTTCCATTATGGCTGTTGAAATGTAAATTCCCACCAACAGTGTGCAAGGGTTTCTTTTCTCTATACCTTTACTAGCACTTGTTATCATTGGTCTTTTTTATAATAGCCATTGCAGCAATTGAGGCATGTTGATAAAAATAGTCAAACTCTATAAAATATTTGAAGAGATTTATTCTGAGCTAAATGTGAGTGACGATGGCTTGTGACACAGCCCTCAGGAGATCCGGAGGACATGTACCCAGGTGGTCAGAGTGCAGCTTGGTTTTATTCATTTTAGGAATCCATGAGATATCAGTCAAAGACATTTAAAATATACATTGGTTCAATTCAGAAATGCAGGACAATTGAAAGAGGGACCTTCAAGGTTATAGGTAGATTTAAAATTTTTCTGATTGGCAATTTGTTGAAAAGGTTATTATCAATAGAAAGAAATGCCTGGGTTACAAAAAGAGGTTTTGGAGACCAAATTTTAGTATGCAGATGAAGCATCCAAGTAGGCTTCAGGGTGAAAAGATCATAAATGTTTCTTAATAAACTTAAGGTCTGTGTTGATGTTAATACTCGAGGGTATAATGAGGTATATCCAACCCCCATTTTCCATCATGGCCTGAATCAGTCTTTCAGGTTAAATTTTGGAGGGCCCTTGCCAAGTAGGAAGTCCATTCAGATGGTTGCGGTCCTTAAAATTTTATTTTTGGTTTACATTCTCCCACTTCTGGCCAAGATTTGCCAGAAGCAATACAAATGGCCACACAAATTTATTTTTTTTTCCCATAGCATTGCCAGAGTGACATGGCTGCCTGCCTCAGGGACATCTGGTCCATTGGAGAGACTTCTTTTAGCCAAGGGACTTAGTCAACAAGACTTACAGCTAAGTAATTGTTCTAGATGAGATAGGACTGAACATGGACAAGCATTCATTACCCCTTACAATTATTATTATTATTAATATCATTTAAGTAGAAAACCAACAAAAAAAAAGCCAAAGGCAAAGCTACAAAACCGACTTATTTTTAACTTCTATGCATTGAGTTACTATAAGCTTGGTTTTAGTTATAGATTTATAGCAATTATTTATACAAAACATAAGCATTGTTCTAAGAAAAAATTTTGATTTTTTAAAAAATATACTTATCTTTAAAATTAATAACTGGGAGTATTATACTTAGGAGGCTTTGGTCACAAGGTATCTTTATTCTGTCAGTAAATATTTTCTTTTAATTCTGTGGAAGCAGAAAATTCTTGATGGTTGGTGTATTAGTCTGTTTTTGTGCTGTTGATAAAGACATACCTGAGACTGGGCAATTCACAAAAAAATAGGTTTAATTGGACTTACAGTTCCATGTGGCTGGGGAGGCCTCACAATCAAGGTGGAAGGCAAGGAGGAGCAATTCACATCTTACATGGATGGCAGCAGGCAAAAATAAAGAGCTTGTGCAGGGAACCTCCCATTTTTAAAACATCAGATCTCATGAGACTTATTCACTATCATGAGAAAAGCATGGGAACGACCCACACTCATGATTCAATGACCTCCCACTGGGTTCCTTTCACAACATGTGGGAATTGTAAGAGTTACAATTTAAGATAAGATTTGGGTGGGGACACAGCCAAATCATATCATTCTGCCCCTGCCCCCTCCCAAATCTCATGGCCTCACATTTCAAAACAAATCATGTCTTCCCAAGAGTCCTCCAAAGTCTTAACTCATTTCAGAATTAACTCAAAAGTCCACAGTCCAAAGTCTCATCTGAGATGAGGCAAGTACCTTCCACCTATGACCCTGTAAAATTTAAAGCATGTTAGTTACTTCCTAGATACAATGGGGTACAGACATTGGTTAAATACAGCTGTTCCAAATGGGTCACAAGTCCCATGCAAGTCCAAAATCCAGCAGGGCAGTCAAATTTAAAGCTCCAAAATGATTTCCTTTGACTCCATCTCTCATATCCAGGTCATGCTGATGCAAGAGGTGGATTCCCATGGTCTTGGGCAGCTCCACCCCTGTGGCTTTCTAGGGTACAGCCTCTCAGATGTTTATATGGGATGTCCTTGAGTGTCTGCAGCTTTTTCAGGCAAACAGCACAAGCTGTCAGTGGATTTAGCATTCTGGGTTCTGAAGGATGGTGGCTTTCCTCTCATAGCTCAACTAGGCAGTGGCCAGTGGGGACTCTGTGTGGGGGCTCTGGCCCCACATTTCCCTTCTGCACTGCCCTTGCAGAGATTCTCCATGAGGACCCCACCTTGCAGCAAACTTCTGCCTGGGCTCCCAGGGATTTCTATACATCCTCTGAAATCTAGGCAAAGGATTCCAAACACAGTTCACGACTTCTTTGCACTTACAGGCTGACACCATGTGGAAGCTACCAAGACTTGAGGTTTGTATCCTTTGAAGCAATGACCTGAGCTCTATGTTGGCCCTTTTAAGCCGTGGCTGCAGTGGCTGGGACACAAGACACCAAGTTCCTAGGCTGCACACAGAGTGGGGACCCTAGTCCCAGCACATGAAACCAGTTTTTCCTCCTAGGCCTCTAGGCCTGGATGGGAAGGGCTGCCGTGAAAGTTTCTGACATGGCCTGAGACACTTTTTTTCATTGTCTTTAGAAGTAACATTCAGCTCCTCGTTACTTATGCAAATTTCTGCAGCTGGCTTGAATTTCCCTCAGAAAATGGGGTTTTCTTTTTTATCAAATTGTCAGGCTGCAAATTTTCTGAAGTTTTATGCTGCATTTCCCATTTAAAACTGAATGCCTTCAACAGCACCCAAGTTACCTTTTGAATGATTTGCTGCTTAGAAATTTATTCAGCCAGATACCCTAAATCATCTCTCTCAAGTTCATTTGAGGTCAGGAATTTGAGACCAGCCTGGGCAACATGGTGAAACCCTGAATCTACTGAAAATGCAAAAATTAGCTGGGAGTCGTGGCAGGTGCCTGTAGTCCCAGATACAGTTAATCTTGGGTTAGATACTGAAAATGAAGAAGTTTCTCCTCCAAAGAGAGAAGGTGGAGCCTTCTCTATTTTCTTTAAAAAAATCTCAGGCCGTTAAAGACTATTAAAGAAAAACTTTCTCAAAAAGAACAAGGTCATACTGTTGCAGATAGTTAGACAGGCATGAGTGGGGTAGAGAGGGCTTTCATCCACCCACTAGGAATGTTGGGTGATGGTTTTGCATTTATTGCATTACCTCTTTAAAAGTGATAAATTGGCAGCTGGCACCAGGGAGAGGCCATTTCCTGATTCTCAATACCTGTTGCACTAAAGTGTTAATTGAATGCAGTCACCAGAGGGAAGCAACTTCCCGGTCATGCACATTAAGAGAGAGAATGGCAGAGTATGATTTTCCAAGACCACTACACTGGAAAAGGGAAAAAAGCCTCAGATGGGCATGTGTACAGCTTCCTAAATACACTGCGTGTGCTCACCTCTCAAGCATAAAAAAGGCACTGCACATGCAGACAGCCCACACTAAGGCAAGAATCATGAGAAAGGGGCCAGCCTATAAAGTCCTAGAATCAAGATTAAACATTGCACTTGACTTTCACATGTCCACTGGGGTCTCTTCCAAGTGTGCTTTTTTTTCTTTTCTGTTCTAAAGACATTTTAAGTAAACGGATGATGCAAGATTTTTCTCAGCCCCTTCACTGGACTCATGGCAGGGACATCCTCTCTACTTGGCCCACCTTGTTCAACCTCTTACAGAAGGTAGCACATGGGTGAGCAAGTGTGGGATCAGGCTGGTCACTTCAGGCACTGACACAGGAACAAGCTCCATGCAGGGCTTGCAGTCAGATCTGGCATGTGTGAGTGCAGGATCCGGCTGGCCACTCCAGGCACTGACACTGGAGCAAGCTCTGTGTGGGGACCACAGCCAGACCATGTGTGTCACCTCAAGAGGAGTGGAGTGATGCCAATGTGAGGATGCCCATGACCCTGAATCCCCAGAGAGTGTGTGACATTGCTTCTTTAGTTCCTTTATCCACAGACAAGATTGTGTTAGCAGCTCAGTTGGCCCCTTGCCTCATTGCATTGGGCAGCTTACCTTCACCCACAAGGGCAAAGGGCTGGTGTGACAGCATTTCTGGGTACCCACACTCAGTGGGTCCTGAGCTCTTATCTGGAATCCAAGAAGAATGAGATCACATGGATTGTTGAAGGATGCTTAAGGTGGAGAAATTTTGAGCAATAAAAACAGCTCTCAGTGAAAAAGGGAGATAGAGAGGGGACAGGAAAGACAGGTCGTATTTCCCAAAGTCAGGTTGTCTCTTCCCCAAAGTCAGGTCATCTTTCCCTCCACTTACTGAGTCTGGGGTCTTTATAGGCATAGGATGGAGAGTGCATGCTGATTCATTTGTGAGTATGCAAAAAAGGTTAAAGTGAAAACACCACTCAAAGATGGGCATGACAGTGTAGAAAACCAAGTAGAAAAGGGTAAGTATATGTAAAATAGGTAAAGTGTGGGGATCAATCAGAGAAAATCATGACAAATAAGAAGACAAGTGCTCAATCTAGTCAGATGATTTAACTTGTAGTTTGGCTTTCAGGCTTTAAACTGTCTTCAGCTTGGAGGTGGGGTTTCACCAGGTAACCACCCCTATGTACCTAGGCATTTGGCTACCTCTTGGTGCTATTTTCCCCCCATCTGAACAGGTATGTCAAAATGCCATTAGAATAGGCATTAAGACTGATATTTACCAGTTCCTGCTAGCAGAGGGCGCTGTTTTGGGAAAAGAGAAGTTAGATTTCCCTCAGGAGCCTATCTAAGGATCTCTGGTAAAAGAAAGCTATTGCCTGAAGCTCCAGTTACATGATCATTTTGAGTTTGATGGCCTCTCAGTGAGAAGAAGCAATTCAGGTTATAAGATATATATCATAACAAAACAAGGGGGTAAGGACTACTAATAAATCCCAGGGCTGCCAACATGCCCAGATAACTGGTGGCTATAGTTATATCTGCTAAGATTTGGATGCATTGGGCTCGGCTTTTGCTAGCTCCCTTGGTCTTATTTTCCCAAAGAAACCTCTGGGTCATGACCACCCTATTTACTCCTATCACCTGGCAGTGTTTTCCGGATAATGCCCAGCACAAGAATATTTATCCAGATTTTTACATTACCCATTTCTTTGGTTTCTACTGAGCTGCAGCCAGAGATCATTAGTTGGTTCACAAAAATAATCAGGATTAGTCTAAAATGTAGGTGAAAACTTAGAAACAACTAATGAGACTAGAATTTAATAAGTGCATAATAATTTTTGAAACATAATTTTTCTCTCTGAAGTTCTCACTTTTCTTAAAAACAAATCATGATAGGACTGAGTTGTTTGCAAAATACATTTTAGTTTTATCCTTGGCCTGGTTATTTGCATAAAGTGCAGCAAGAATAATTATTTTCACATAGGCTTTTAAAATTGGCCTTGATGAAACTCTGTTCCACCAAAAAAAACCCACACAAGATTTTCTAAAGCCAAGCCCAGCAATGGATTTGTGCCCTCAAATACCTTTGATTTGGGTAAATTACTCTCTTCTTGAGGTCCCAAGAATATGAGGCTCCTGGGCCTGTTACAAAGTGACATTCTTTACTCAAAATAGGTTAGGAACGCTGTACGGGGACTGCATAGACAAAGTATCAGGCCAGTTTTCCCAAGGGGCGCTTATTGGCTCTGCAAGTCAAGCTTGATTCCTTAAAGTTAAGCACTCCCTTCCACTCAAAGCTTTGGTAAAACAAACGGTTTCTCCAATTGTGTCTTTTGCAGAAGAAAATGGATTCTTATTGCACCAATGCAAACTATATTGCCATAAGTTAAGAATACTCATAGTTTCCAAATTCTGGAGAAGTCAAGCAGAGAGAAACAAATATGCTCCAAATTTTGTTCGCAGGAGTATACTTTACTCAACTATTAAAGGCTGTAAATAGCTCAAAATAAAAGCTCCCTTGACTCTGAAAAAACAAAATAAAGATCAGAAATGTTTTAAGAAAAAAGTTAAAAAATATCACTTCGGTGTTCTGTTCAGTTTTTGTTCTGCTTGATATTCCAATATCACAATCTCCAAAGTTATCATAAACCTGCATTTAAGGTCACCTGTCAAAGTTCTATAGCTGATTTGCAAGCCATCTTTTCAAAAGGATCAAAGCAAGACATCAATTCAGGAATAACAAAATATCCAGGGTAGTTACAGTCAAAAACACAATTGACAAGGAAACTTGGTTATTTCTGTGGCTTACAATACCTTAACATAATATCCTTAATTATGATTGATAGCATATACTCAGACAATAGAATTTTAGCAATCTCATACAATTTTGAAACATATATTAATATTATTCACTAAAACATTATGTGAAGAAAATTAAATATATGTATATATGTGTATATATATGTGTGTGCATATATATATACATATATATAACACAGATTTTTTATTTTGGCAATTCCATGTAAACATGTCAAATGTGTCAAATAATACTGTTTACCTCCATTTTGGATGTTCCAGGGGCCCTGTGTATCAAACAAAATTAGGAGTATGGTTAATTTCATATTTCCCCAGACCTTACCAAATTGTAAAGCAAGCAAGTCAATCAGGGCTCAAAAACTATAAAAGCAGTCTATGACCTTAAAACATTTAGGAAACCTAATATCTAAACTGTATAATTTAGACCACATATTTACATTTTGAAGACATTTGTATTTTACCAATAATATTTAAAACTGTTTTTATTTTTCAAAGATTAAGGTCATGTGAACTAAAAGGTGCCACACCTTTTATCTTTTCTTCAAAACAAATTTGTGCTAAGGACTTATTTTTTCTCGGCCAATTAATTAGAACAAATATAACACACATATAACTACTTGGAAAGACAGACGAAGATCCAGTAGTTGTAAGATTCTTCATTTGCTGATCTCCTAATTGGATTGCTGGTCTCAGGGTGGAGTGCTTCAAGAGGCAGGGCTAGGAAAACATGCAGTTTCTAGGGTCTAATCATCACATATATCTGGATGACAAAAATATAATTTGAGAGGGATCTATTTGCTTTTAGTTCCTGGGGTTTCATTAGAAAAACAGGAATTTTTTTCCTCAAAATGGAGCCTGTGGCATATTCTCCGTTTTCACATAGAGTCCCATGCTCTGAGAAGTTATCTTAGGGCCTCAGATGCATGCATTAAGAGTGGCAAGTCAAAATGAAGATCAACAATTTAGTCAACTGAGAAAAAACCTTTTTTCAGAAAAACAAGATTCATGAAGAAAAAAAGAAAGGCTTTTTAAATATACCTATAGCTTGGATATCCAAATTTAATTGAGCTGACTTTTAACCATAGCACTCTTTAAGAAAATCCTTTTAGGCCAGGTGTGGTGGCTCACACCTGTAATCCCAGCACTTTGGGAGGTGGAAACAGACAGATCACCTGAGTTCAGAAATTTGAGAATAGTCTGGCCAACATGGTGAAACCTCATCTCTACAAAAAATACAAAAAAAAAAAAGGCAGGCATGATGCTGTCTGCCTGTAATCCCAGCCACTTGGGAGACTGAGGCAGGAGAATCGCTTGAACCTGGGAGGCAGAGGTTGCAGTGAGTTGGGATGGTACCATTGCACTCCAACTTGGGAGAACAAGCAAGACTCTGTCTCCAAAAAAAAAAAAGAGAGAATCCGTTTAAATAGCTTGTTACCCAACCTTAGCCATGCAAAGTGGCCAAAATTCCTGGCTTTTGAACTTTACCAAAAGTAACCTCACAGATAAAACTAATAAGCCTCAACTAAGGTTATAACTTAATTGTGAGTATATGAGGTATTTTCAAAGAGGTGATAAGCACATTTTACAAAACCTAGAATCTTTAAAGGTAGCTCAGAGAAAGAAAGATTCAAGAAAGGAAGCTAGAAGTTGTTCATGAAGAGGAAGAGAATCAGCAAATAATAAAATTTACACAAATATTAACCAGAAAGTGCTCATTCCCTAAGCCACTTTTGAACCCAGAACACCATTGTAAAATGGCAAAGACCAAAAGAAAGTACTGCCACGTGGTTACAAGGCCAAGTTCCAAAAAACCTAAAACAACATGGAGATATCATCAAGTTTTTTCAAAACTTTACAGTAGTCTTTACCATTACTTTTACTGGTTTGCACGGAGACAGAGAGGCCAGAAGTCTGACTGGAGAAAACAAAACAAAACAAACAAACAAACAAAAAACCTTTACCCTTTTGCCAGCATGCCAGGCTTCTGGGTTCCCTTTCCTAAAGCTCAATCTTAAGCCAAGAAGTTTAAGGTTTGGGGAAAGTAACTTTTCCTAGTTTGGGGAATGCATCTGAGGGGATTGTCTTAGGGTACAGGGGACACAATTAAACATCTGCAGAGAAACAACAGAGGAGAAAAAAAGGAAAAAAGAATGTCTTGTTTTATTCAAAGGATTCCCAGTATTTTAGGAGGCATCCATGAGAAATACAGACTGAAGATGATTGGTTATCCATCTTGAAAGAGGGAAAAAAATGTATCCCTATTTCTCTTCCCAGAAAATACCTGGGGCACACAAGGGAGAGAAAGAAAAGGCATCCCCCTTCTTTCATCCAAGTCCTGATGACCTCAGCTGTGTGGTGCCCATGGGTTCCAATGTGGCTTTCACCCATGTTAACAGGAGACCTAGTGGGTAGGGATTATCTGCACTCACTTGTGTGCTTTCCGTCCCTCATGCTGCAGGTAACCTTTTAATTCCCCAAACCTCATTTATGCCATGGATACTAGCATAACCTCCATCTATGAAATGGGGGTGGCTAATCAGCAGTAATTAATCATGCTCACCTGTGCTGGGCACCTTGACTTTTGTTGTTGCCTGGCTTTGGATCCCTCAGATCTAGTTTTTTCCTTCCTAGGGCTTCAAGCAGACGCTTGCAATTGAGTTCGGGACAAAAAGGTGTCTCAGGAGGGTGCATGGACTCTTTAGGTTAGGAAGTCCCATGAATTGGTGTATGGCCTAGTAAGATGCTTTTCAAAAAAAAAAAAAAAGCTCTTGTATAGAAAAGTTCCCTGTATTTGCAGGGCTATGTGAACTCCTGACATGGTAGAGAAAAGGAAAGAAAAAAAAAACAGTAAAACAGTTTAAGTGCAGGGGCGGGAAGGAGCCTGGGGTGAAAAGCCTCTTGCTCTTTGCAAATGGGTTTCTTCAACAGGGGAAAGACTCTTGATCACTGTGCCCTCCTTGCCTCTAAGAATAGATTCTGAATCACAAATCTGATGGCTGGGCCAAATGCTCATTCTACCCAGTAATATTTCTTCAGTTTGCAGCAATATTTTTAACATTATGAAAGAAGACATAGGAACCATTTCAAACCATGAAATAAGGAAAAAAAAATACCATACAAATCTGGGGTTCTTGGCTGATGACCTATGGGTGATTGGGATGGAGTGAAGTCTAGGAGCCTTCCAGCAACATTGAGAAGTGGCCTCAACCAGATGCATTCAGTTGCCCTAGGACCTCATTCCTGTCCCATGTGATGGCTAGACCTCCACGAAGGGAAACAAAGCCAACATTCCTTTAACCCAAGAGAGAGTTGGTAGGGTCACATCCTGTCCTCTGTAACTGTTCCATTCACTTTCAACTGGCTAGTCAGAGGTTCAGTACTTCATCTGCATTCAGAGGAAAGTCTGAGGACAAGAAGTTTTGGAAAAAAAAGTGAAGTGTCTGGTCCACATTCAATTACCCTTCTGACAAATCCTGAGTGAGCTCCCAGATGATTCAGGAATTTTCTCAGCCCCTTTGCTGAGCTCATGGGAAGGGTGTTGCCTCTACTCAGCCCACCATGCTCAGTCCCTTGTGGGAGAAAGCACATGAATGAGAGTGTGGGATCTGATTGGTTTCTCTGGGCACCAACACAAAAACAAGCTCTGTGCAGGGCCCATGGCTAGACCAGGCATGTTGCCTTCAGGGGAATATGGTGATGCCCATGTGAGGATGCCCACAACCCTGAATCCCCAGAGGTGGTGTGACAGTGCTCCTTTAGTTCCACCGTTGGTGAATGGCATTGTGTTAGCATCTCAGTAGGCCCCTTTACCTCATTGTGTGGGACAACTGCTCTCTGCCATTGAGGGCAAAGGGCCAGTGTGACAGCCTTTCTGGGTACCCACACTTGATGGATCCTGATCTCTTGTCTTGTGTCCAAGAAGAATGAGGTCACCTGGACAGTTGAAGAATGGTGAAGGTGGAGAATTTTATTGAGTGATGAAAATTGCTTTCCATGAAGAGGGGAGCTGAAGAGAGGATGGGAAGGGCAGGTCATCTTCCCCAAAATTAGATTGTCTCTTCCCTGAAGTCAGGTTGTCTCTCCCTGTAGTGACTGAGTTTGGGGTCTTTATATGGACAGGATGGGGAAGGCGTGCTGATTGGTTTGTGAGTATGCAAAACAGTTAAAGTGAAAACACCACTCAAAGGTGAACACTACAGTGTAGAAAACCAATTAGGAAAGGGTAGGTATATGTCAAATAGGTGAAGTGTGGGGATCAATCAGAAGAAAGCATGCCAAACAAAAGGAAAAATTCTCAATCCAGTCCAAGGATCTAACTTGTTGCTTGGCTTTCAGGCTTTAAACTTTCTTTGGCTTGGAGGTGGGGTTTCACTGGGTACCTGTCCCTCTCTGCCTAGGCATTTGGCTGCCTCCTGTCACTTTCACTCCTTTACTGAAACTTGTCTTGGTCTCTTTTTCTGCCATATTCCCCTCAGTTAAATTCTTTTAATCTGAAGAGGCAGAATTTAGGTTACCTTCTTCCTCGGATACCTTCCACCAGCAACATAGTTGCTGCAACATGACTCAGATGCATTCCCTAGCAATAAGAGATCTCTATGTGTAGCCTCCTTTGTCTGGAGACATTTGACTCCCATGCATGATTTTTCCTCTCCATCTCTCTTCTGCTTACTAACCAACCCCCAGAATAATTCCTCTTGGCCATAACTGACTCTGCTCCCCATCACTGATTTCACAGCTCACTTCGATGGGTGGCATCTCAGGGTGGGAATGACTTCAGGGTCCACATTGAGCAGATTGGAGGCACTTAATTTCCTCCTAGACAAGAGGCTCATAAGAGGGGTGAAGCTAAGGCCTAAAAACCTTATGATGTCTAGGGTTTTCTCTGCTTTTTCTTTCCACTTAAAATTGGCTCTTTTCCAAAAACATGCACTGTCTATTCTCCTGTTTTCTGTGTGTGTG
This sequence comes from Homo sapiens, assembly GCF_000001405.40. NCBI lineage: Eukaryota > Metazoa > Chordata > Mammalia > Primates > Hominidae > Homo > Homo sapiens. The sequence goes on from NC_000023.11 coordinate 82,087,707, forward strand.
TGTGTTCTAAAATGATTTTGTGCACCTGCAGGACCTCCCACCTTGGGAGCAAGCCTGCCTCTTTGCTTTCACTTTGCATACCATGTGACTTTTTAAACACACACTCCCTGTTATTCACATGCCCGTGGCTCTCTGTGTTTGTGCAGCAACGAAGGCACAGGCTCCCTTGTGGATATCCCCTGAGGTTTGTATTTGTTTTTGCCAGCTTGAGTGACCTTCAGTTTTTACTCTGCCTGCTGGCACATGGCCTGGACAGACACTAATTGAAACTCTGGCTCTGCCAGCTTCTTACAACTCACCACGTGCTTTCTATTCTTGTTACACCCCAGGGCTAAGTTTTCTGATGGCTTCTAAAAGCAGCTTCTCTGTCTGCATAGGGCTTTGCTATGGCCCTTTAAGAATCCAAACCTCTTGTTTTTTAAGCTAGCACAACTTTGAGAAAAGGAGAAATTCTTACTCCAAGCCATAAGACCTTAGCGATTACTGTTTTATGTCCAGAGGACAAATAAACATTACCCTCTTGAATCCAAGAGCTGCAGTTTTTGTGCGCATATGAAGTCTTTCAATAATTATTCCTTGGGCTTCCTTCCACTTCCTCATATACCTTCAATTTCTCTAATTACTTCCACATCCTTCTCAATGCTCATCAAGACTTTCTAGGTCATTTTCTAACAGAGGGGCAAAGGAAGTCCAGGACTTCTGGCAGTTAACAGAGAAATAGACTTCTACAAAAAAGAGATAATCATTTCATTACTAAAATACTCTGAATGAGGGTTACTATAAGGTCATGGATACAAGAATATAGGTTGGTCCAAGGACACAGATGTAATAGACATACAAGACAGAGATGAAAGATGGCCCCAGGCTAACAGATTACCATTGGAACAGTAATGAAAGGCGAGGGGAGTACCCAGTAAGGACATGTTAATTCTGGAACCCCAGGAAAGAGCAAAGACCCACTGTTCACTACAGTAACTCTTCTGTTCTCAAGTGAGTAATTGTGATGAGATGGGACCAAGGGTACAAGATAAAGACTGGTTAAGTCCAGAATCCAGGATGATAGGGGATACCTCATCCAGAATAATAGAAAGAAAGGGGCAATGCATTCTTTTTCATTTTTTTCTCTTTTTTCTCCTCCGTTCTCTTTGCAAATGGCATATGTGTAATAATATCTACATACCACAGGAGATGCCTCTTTTGAATGCATTCCTCAAAAGTGGGACAAGATTATCTTTCCCAAACCTTAAAGTGCTTGGCTTAAAAATGTACTGAGAAAAAATTACAAAATTTAGCCTTGGATCCTAGTACTCCTGGGCAAGAGGTCCTCAGATTAGCCTCTTAAGTCTTTTATAACTAAAAGTAGAATAGGAGGACAGGGTTAAGCCTGTTGAGTATGGCAAATGGAATCTCCTTCCTCCAAAATAAAAGATTCACACCCCTTTGTATTACTTAAGGGACCAGTTGACATTCTTCCACCAGTCCCTGGTAATTTCTAAAATATCACACACATGTTCAGATAAGTTCCAGCAAAAATCTAACTAAGCAGTCTCTTGAGAGGGAAAAACTTCTACAGTATGTAGATAACCTCTTTATCTACTCCCCCTTCACAGGACATGCATGGCAACATGCAGTACAAACCTTAACTTTCTAACAGAATTAAAATGGCTTTTTTCTTATTAAAAGGATATACGAAACAGAAAAAGATAATTTTCCTCTGTGTTGTGATTTATTCCCCAGGCTGTGGCAAGCAAGGTTACTAGGGCTGCTCAGGGAAAGGAAACCAAGATGCCTGGCATGCCAACAAAAGGGTAAAAATTCTTACCTGTCACACTCCTGGCTTCTGTCCCTCTGTGCAAACCAGTTGTAGGAATGATAAAAAAAAAATCACTATATTCTCTGCTCCTCCACGAATGACTTCTGACTTCCCTTCTTGAATTTTCCTTTATCAGAGTTACCTTTGTGGACTCTAAATCCTGTAAAATCTACTTAACACCTCTTTGAAAATACCTCATACACTCATGGATAAGTCATAACCTTAGTTAAGGCTTATTGGTTTAATCTATGAGTTTACTTTGGTAAAGCCGGAAATATTGGCTTTTGGGCCAGGCTAAAGTCAGGTAATAAGAGATTTGAAAGGATTTTCTTAAGAGCTCTATGGTTAAAAGCCAGCTTAATTAAAAGTGGATATCCAAGCTATATAAAATTTAAAAGCCTTTTGTTTTTTTTTCTTCTTGAATCTTAGTTTTTGAATATTTTTTTCCTCTGTTGACTGAATTGTTTTATTCTGTTTTATTTTCTTGCCACTCTTGATGCACACATCAGAGGAACCAAGATAATTACTACCAGCTTGTGACTCCTTGGCAAAAACACAGGGGAACCACAGACCCCATTTTGGAAAAAAAAGTGTTTTCCTTATGGGACCCCAGGAATTAAAAGTAAATAGATACCTTTCAAAATCTAAGGCTGTGTTCTGTGTGCTTTGAATTACCTGAAGTTTTTGACTTTTGAGAGTATCAGAAATTACTTTGCATTATGAGAGAACTTTGGTAATAACTAGGTAGTAAATATATTTATATGGATGGCTAATGGCAGTTATGGAGGAATACCCAGCTCTTTGCACATTTGGATCAGAGAAGCATGCTCTTGGCCAACTGGAAGGTATAAAAACATCCCCACCCTGCGCTGAGAGATAAGACTTCCATGGGGGATAGGCTAATCACAGAATTGGTTGATTGACTTTGGATTACTTTGCAGTGAAATGCTGGTAAAATAGTTGTAAAATGGGACACTTGATTTTTGTTGATCTGTTTTTGCCTTCCAGTTGTGTCTGCTTATCAGGCCCAGGAAACTGCGTGCTTTCTCAGCTCTGTTCCTCCAAGAGCACTGGGAAGAGGCCATTTCCTGATGGTCCACACCTATTGCACTGAAGTGTTAACTAAATGCAGACTTCAGAGAGAAGGAACTTCCCAGGCACGTGCATTAAGAGAGAAAGAGGTGAAGTATGACCTCATGGGAGCATTCCACTGGAAAAGGAAAGAAAGCCTCAGATGGACATATGTATAACTTCCTAAACACATTGAGTTTGCTCACTTTCCAAACATAAAGAAAGCACTGCACGTGTGGGCAGTGCACCCTAAGGGAAGAATCATGGAAAAGAGGCCAGCCTATAAAGTCCTGGGATCAAGGTTAAAAATTGCACTTGACCTTCACATGCCCACTTGAGTCTCTTCCAAGCTTCTTTTTCTTTCGCTTTTTGTCCTGTTCTAAAGCCTTTTTAAATAAACTTCCACTCCTGCTCTGATACTTGCTTCAGTCCCTGTTTCTGCCTTATGCCCCTTAGTTGAATTCTTACTTCTGAGGAGGCAAGAATTGAGGTTGCTTCAGATCTGTACAAATTCACTGCCTGTAACTCAGATACCTTCCACCAGTGACAAAAGGAGAGAAATAATAATAATAAAAAAACTAAAAGGAAATATATATAGCCTGGGGTTTTAGTGTGGGGGCTTGAAGTGTGCTGGTTGTGGGCAGTCCTCCACAGTGTGTCATCACTGATTTGTTCCTACCCTCTTATGTGTCTCAGTTTCTCTCTCAGAAGGTCTAGCACCTCCAGGAGGGCTCAAAGCATGTAGTGACCAGCTCCTATATGGTTTTCCTGAACAAGCCTTTCTAAATTAATTTTATTGGGGGTTCCCTGTGGGGTTGCTTCGTGTAATAAGGGGTCAGCCTCCCCGACACTCCCACTCAGGCTCTGGTCACCCAGGGGTGCCTTTCAGCTGAAAGGAGCAAAATTTCATTTTCTCTGGAGCTGAGAAAACTCAGTCTCTCATTTATCTATAAAAACAACAGTTCCGTTCCTTATGCAAATGCACAGAAAAGCCAAATCAAGATTAATTTAGAGAGAAAAAGTAATGAAAAAGACCCTTTAGAATGCACTTCTTAACTAGCAATAGGGTACAGAAAGGAGGTCGCTCTCCTTGTCTTTAGATAAACAAAATCAATGGAGAAGACCCTGTAGAATCCATCTCCAAACTCGAATTAGGATCCTAAAGAACAACTTCCTAGGAAGAAAAAATAAAAACAGCTCAGAATAAATCAAGGCGCATCAATCAAAGGGAGGTTCTGGGCTCAGGAAGACTTACAAGTTTCACCAGCAGAAAAGCTCAAAGTTAGGGAGGTTTTCAATAGTCCCCTGCTGGTACCTTAGCTCAATGTTTGGGCAACTCCCTCAGGATCTTGAGTCTTCTCTTAGGCCCCTCGTTAGGTGTGAAATTATTTTTAACAAAAAAGTCAAATTCTGTAAAGTAGTGAAAGAGATTTATTCTGAGCCAAATATGAGTGATCATGGCCTGTGACACAGCCCTCAGGAGATCCTGAGAATGTTTGCCCAAGGTTGTGAGGGCGCAGCTTGGTTTTACACCTTTTAGGGAGACATGAAACATCAATCAAATACATTTAAGATACACATAGGCTCCGTATAGAAAGGTGGGACAACTCAAAGTGGGGGGTTGTAGGTTATAGATAAATTTAAAATTATTTTGATTGACAATTGGTTGAAAGAGTTATTATCAATAAAAAGGAATGCCTGGGTTACAATAAGAGGTTATGGAAATCAAAGTTTCATCATGCAGATGAAGCCTCCAAGTAGCAGGCTTCAGAAATAATAGATTGTAAATGTTTCTTATCAGATTTAAGTTCTGTGTTGATGTTAATGCTGGAGAGTATAATGAGGCATGTCTGGCTTCCACTTCCTGTCATGACCTGAACCAGTCTTTCAGGTTACATTTTGGAGTGCACTAGCTGAGGAGGATGTACTTTCAGATGGTTAAGGGTGGCTTAGAATTTTATTTTTGGTTTACCGGTGGCCTCTCATTGTGGTTTCAATGAACATTTCTATGGTGATTGGTGATACTGTATAATTTTAAACATATCTCCTTTCTATTTGTATATTTTCCTTTGAGAATTGTCTCTTCAAACCATTTGACTATTTTTTAATCAAGGTATTTTTAAAATTATTGAGTTATTTGACTTTCTTATATATTTTGAATATTAACCCCTTATCAGATGATATGCAAGTATTTTCTCCCACTCCGTAGATTGTCTCTGTACTCTCTTGATTGTTTTATTGTTCATGCAAAAGGCATATATATATAGACAGATGATTGATAGATAGATAGACGATAGATTTTTGAGGTACACATGCAATTTTGTTACATGGATATATTGTATATTTGTGAACTCTGGTCATTTTTGTAACCATCATCTTAATAGTGTACATTTTACCTATTACATAATTTTTTTATTCCTCTCCTCCTTCTCATAACCCAGCGTGTCTAAGTCTTCATTGTCTATTACTCCACTCTCTATGTCCGTGTATACACATTTTTAGCTCCCTCTTATATTTGGCTTTCTGAGTTATTTCACTTCAGATAACAGCCTTCAACTTTATTTACATTGTTGCAAAAGACAAGATTTTATTCTTCTCATCCGTTGATGAACTGTTAGCTTTATGCCACATATTTGATATTGTAAAGAGTTGCAATACACTTAGAAGTGAAGGTGTCTTTTTGATATAATTGTTTATATCCCTTTGAGTATATACACATTAGAATTGCTGGATTAAATGGTAACTCTGTTGTTACTTTTTTGAGAAATCTCTATACTGTTTTTTTCATAAAGGCTGTTTTAGTTTACATTTCCACCAATAGCGTATGTGCAGAACCTTTTCTCTACATCCCTGCCAACATTTTATTATTTGACTTTTTAATAATAGCTATTCTGACGGGTGTAAGATGGTATTTCATGGTGGTTTTAAATTGCATTATTCTAATCATTAGTGATATTGGGCATTTTTTCATATCTGCATTGGCCATTTGTGTGTCATCTTTTGAAAAAAATATTTGTTCATGTCCTTTGCCTATTTTTAATGGCATTATTTTGTTTTATTTGTTTGTTTTTCTTGTTTAACTCTTTGAGATCCTTGTACATTCTGGATATTAGTCTTGGATGCATAATTTGTAAATAATTTATTGCATTTTGTGAACTGCCTGTTTACTCTCTTAATTACTTCTTTGTGCAGAATTTTTTTTAGTTTAATTAAGTCCCATTTCTGTTTTAGCTTCTCTTTTTGTCTTTGCTTTGGAATCATAGTAATAAATTATTTGCCTAGGGCAACATCAAGAAGAGGTATTTCTGTTTACGTCTAGAATTTATATGGTTACAGATTTTATATTTAACCATGTTGAGTTGATTTTTGTATATAGTGAGAAATAGATGTCCAATTTCATTTTTCTGCATATGGCCCTACAATATTTACAGCGTCATTTATTAAATAGGTGTCTTTCCAGAGGGTATGTCTTTGTTGACTTTGTCAGAAGTCAATTTGCTGTATGTATGTAGTTTTATGTGGATTCTATACTCTCTTTCATTGATCTATGTGTATATTTTTATACCAGTAATATGATATTTTGATGACTATAATCTTGTAGTATAATTTGGTGTGAAGTAATGTCATTTCTTCAGCTTTATTCTTTTTGCTAAGTATTGCTTTGGCTATTGGGACATATTTTTAGTTCCACATAAATATTAAGATTTTTTTTCCAGTTATGTAAAAATATGATGTTGGTATTTTGATAAGATTGAATTTAATTCATAGATTGCTTTGGGCAGTATGGTCATTTTAACAATATTAATTCTTCCAGTACATAAGCATTGAATATTTTCCCAGTTTTTGGTTTAATCTACAATTTATTTCAATTGTGTTTTGTAGTTTTTCTTGTAGAGATCCTTCAACTCCTGGGTTTAATATATTTATACATATTAAATTTCTTTGTAGCTATTGTAAATGAAAGTTACTTAATTTGGTTCTCAAATTGGTGAACACAAATGCTACTGGTTTTTATATTAATTTTATATACTGAAGCTTAATTAAACACATTTATCAAATCTAGGAGTCTAGAAAGAAATTTTAGTGTCTTCTAGGTATAAGAACATAGCATCAACAAACAGATAATTTGAAATTCTTTTTTCCAATTAGAATACCTTTTGTTTCTATCTCTTGTCTGATTGGTCTGGCTATGACTCCCAGTACTATCTCTAACAAAAAGAGTGAAAGGGGCATCCTCATCTTATTTCAGTTTGTAGGTGGAATGTATTCAACTTTTCCACAATCAGTATAATTTTGGCTGTAGATTGGTCACATATGGTTTTTGTTATTTTGAGATATGTTTCCTTTATACTTACGTTGTTGAGAGTTTCTTTCATGAACAGATGCTGACTTTGTTAGTTTTTTTTTTCTTCATCTACTTTAAGAATCATACTGGGTTTTTAGAAATTTATGCTTATGCTGTAAATCTCCTTTAAAGATTTGCATATGTCGAACCATCCTTTCATCTCTGGAATAAAGCTCACTTTATGGTGGTGTATTGTTTCTTGATGTGTTGTTGAACTTGATTAGCTAGTAGTTTGTTGAAATTTGCATCTATGCTTATCGGGGATATTGGCCTGTACTTTACTTTTCTTAACTTGTGTCCTTGCCTGATTTTGGTATCTGGGTGATATGGGCTTCACAGAATGAGTACGAGAGGACTTCTTTCGCTTCAATTTTTAAAAACATTGATAGTAGGGTTGGTACCAGTTATTTGTACATCTGGCAGTATTCATCTGTGAAATTATTTGGTCCTGGGTTTTTGTTGCTGTTGTTGTTGAGTTTTTTTTTTTTTTAATAGTGATTCAATCTCACTAGTCATTATTACCATGCTTGGGATTTCTATTTCTTCCTGTATCAGTCTTTGAAGGTTTTATATTTCTAGGAATATATATATTTCCTCTAGGTTTTCTAGTTTGTGGATATAGAGTTGTTCATAGTAGTATCTGTGATCTTTTGTATTTCTGTCATATCAGTTTTAATGTCTTCTTTTTTATTTCTAAGGGTGTATATTTGAGTCTTCTCTCTTCTTTTCTTTAATAGCCTGGCTAGCAATCAATTTATTTAACTTATATTTCAAAAAAGAAACTTTTCATTTTGTTGATCCTTTTTTTTGGTCTCATTTTTATTGAGTTCTGTTCTGACATTTGTTATTTCTTATTTTCTGTTAGATTTGGGTTTGGTTTGTCATTGTTTTTCTAATTCCTTACAATTCAAGCTATGTCATTAATTTGTGATCTTTCAATGTTTTTTTTCAAGTAGGCATTTAGCTCTGTAAACTTTCTATAAATTATTTTGTTGGATCTCAGAGGTTTTGATATGTTGTAACTCTATTTTTATTCATATCGGAAAGTTTTTTAATTTTTATATAAATTTGGTCATTGATCAAAAAATTGTTTTCAAAAAGTGGTTTTAATTCCAATACATATGTATAATTTTGAGAGTTTTTTACTATATTGATTTTTAGGTTTAGTCCCCTATCATTTAAGCAAATAATTGAAATAATTTTGAGTTTTTAAAAATTTATGAAAGCTTATTTTGTAGCCTAACACATGGTCTACCTTGGAGAATGTTTTATGTCTGATGAAAAAATGTATATTTTATAATTTTCTTTTACAAATATATTTTTAAAATTTTTGTGGTTACATAGTAAGTGCATATATTTATGGAGTACATGAGATGCTTTGATACATGCATAAATGTGAAATAATTACATCATGGGGAATGGAGTATTGATCTCCTTAAGCATTTTATCCTTCATGTTACAAATAATTCAATTACACTTTTTGTTTACTGTAAAATGCACAGTTAAGTTATAATTACAGTCATCCGTTGGTACTACCAAATAGTAAGTCTTCTTCATTCTATTTTTTGTACCCACTAATTATCATCACCTTCCCTCCAGCCTCCTACAAAGCTTCCAAGCCTGCAGTAACAATCTTTTTACTTTCTATGTTCATGAGTTTGATTGTTTTGATTTTGGACCCATGGATAAGTGAGAACATATAATATTTTTTCTTTCTGTATTTGACTTAAACTAATGATCTCCAGTTTTATCCATGTTGTTGCAAATGACTGAATCTCATTTTTATGGCTGAATCCTACTCCATTATGTACATGTAACATACTTTTTAAATCCATAAACCCCTTGATTGACACTTGGGTTGCTTCCAAATCTTATGTATTGTAAACAGTGCTGCAACAAACATAAAAGTGCAGATGTCGCTTTGATATACTGATTTCCTTTTGGGGGGTTATTACTCAGCAGTGGGACGGTTGGATCATACAGTAGCTCAATATTTAGATTTTGAGGAACATCTAAACTGTTCCCCAAAGTGGTGGTAGTAATTTACATTCCCACCAGCAGTGTATGAGGATTTCCTTTTCTCCACATCCTCAGCAGCATTTGCTATTTCCTATATTTTGAATATAAGCCATTTTAAATGGGGTGAGATGATATCTCATTGTAGTTTTGATTTTATTTCTCTGATTATCAATTATATCGAGCACTTTTTTATATCATCTATTTGCCAGTTGCATGTCTTTGTTTTCAGAAATTTCTATTCAAATCTTTTGGTTATTTTTTTAATGGGATTATTAGATTATTTTTTCCTATAGAGTTGTTCGAGCTCCTTATACATTGTGGTTATTAATTCCTTGTCAAATGGGTAATTTGCAAATATTTTCTCCCACTCTGTCAATTGTCTATTCACTTTGTTGATTATTTACTTTGTTGTGCAGAAGCTTTTTAATTTGATTTGATTTCATTTGTCTATTTTTGCTTTGGTTGTCTGTGCCTGGGGGATATAGGTCAAGAAATTTTTTGCACAAACTAATGTCCTGAAGATTTTTCCCAAAGCATTTGGGTAGCAGTTTCATACTTAAATGTCTTACATTTAAGTCTCAAACCAATTTCGATTTGATTTTTGCATATGGCAAGAGATATGGGTGCAGTTTCATTCTTCTGCATATAAATATCCATTTTTTTCACCACCACTAACTGAAGAGACTATTTTTTCCCTGTATATGTTTTTGACACATCTATTGTATATGAGTTCACTGTAAATGTGTGGATTTGTTTCTGGGTTCTCTATTCTTTTTGATTGGTCTATGTGACTATTGAGATACCAGTACCCCGCTGTTGTGGTTACTACAGCTCTGTAGTATAATTTGAAGTCAAATAATTTGATTCCTCCAGTTTTGTTCTTTTGCTTAGGAAAGCCTTGTGAATTCTGGGTCTTTTGTAGTTTCATATAAATTATATATGTATTTTTCCCATTTCTGTGAAGAATGCCATTAGTATATTGATACAGATTGTATTGAATCTGTGGATTGCTTGGGGTAGTATGAACATTTAACAATATTGATTGTTTCAATTAATGAAAATAAAATATTTTGCCATTTTTTGTTTCCTATTCAATTTATCAGTGGTTTATAGATGTTATTACAGAGATCTTTCACTTTTTGGCTAATTCCCAGGTGTTGAATTATGTTTGTGGCTATTGTAAACGGAATTACTTTTCTTATTTTTTTCAGATTGTTCACTGTTGGCATATAGAAACGCTACTAATTTTTCTATGATGATTTTGTATCCTGCATCTTTATCAGTTTTTATGAATTTTTTATCATTTCTAATATTTTCTGTAGATTCTTTACCATTTTCCAAGTATAATATCATATAATCTGCAAAAAAAAAGGATAATTTGGATAATTTGATTTCTTTCATTCCAATTTGGATGTCCCTTATTTATTTCTCTTATCTAATTTTGCTAGCCAAGTCTTCCATTACTAAATTTTATAACAGTAGTTAAAGTGAGAATCCTCACCATTTTCTGGATCTTAGAGGAAAAGATTTCAGTTATTCCCCACTCATTGTGGTACTTGTTGTGGGTTTGTCATACGTGGCTTTTATTACGTTGAGGCACATTCTTCTTATCCTCAGATTTTTGAGAGATTCATCATAAAGGATGTTGAAATTTATTAAATGCTTTTTCAGCATCAATTGAAATTATCATAGGGTTTTTATCTTTCATTCTGTTTAAATAATGGATTACATTGATTAATTTGCATATGCGGAACCATCCTTGCATTGTAGGAATAAATCCCATTTGGTCATAATAAATTATCTTTCTAATGTACTGATGAATTCGGTTTGCTAATATTTTGTGGAAGACTTCTGCATCATTATTCATCAAAGACATTGTCCTGTACTTTGATTTTGGATTTGTTTTTTTCTGGTTTTTATGTCAGGTTAATACTGGCCTCCTAGAATGAGTTTGAAAGTATTTCTTCCTCTTTTATTTTTTGAAATAATAGTTTAAGTAACATAGGTATTAGTTCTTTAAAAGTTTGCTAGAATTTAATAGCAAAACCATTGTGTCCTGGGTTTTTCTTTACTGAGAGACATTTATTATGACTTCAATCTTATTACTTGTTATTGGTCTGTTTATGTTTTGATCTTCTTGCTGGTTCAATTTTGGCAGGTTTTATGTGTCTAGGAATTTTCCCATTTCTTCTTAGTTTTGCAATATAATGGTATATAGTTGCTTATAGTAGCCACAAATGATCCTTTGAATTTCTGCAGAATTAGTTTTAATGCCTCATTTTTCATTTCTGATTTTATTTATTTGTATTTTCTCCTTTAAAAAAATTAATCTGGCTAAAGGTTTCTCACTTTTGTTTAGCTTTTCAGAAAACCAACTTTTTGCTTCACTTATCTTTTGTATTGGTTTTCTTGTTTCAATTTTATTTATGTCAGCTTGTATTTTTATTATTTCTTTTCCCCTGATAATTTCGGGTTTGGTTTGCTCTAGCTTTTCTATATCTTTAAGACGCATTTTTAGATTGCTTATTTGAAATTTTTCCTCTGTTTTTGATGTAGGTACTTATAAGATTAAATTTCCTTCATAGCATGGCCTTTCTATATTTCATAGGTTTTGGTACATAGTGTTTCCATTATCACTTGTTTCAAAATTTTTTTCAATTTTCATCTTAATTTCTTCATTTACCCAGTGCTCATGCAGGAGCATAATGTTTAATTACCATGTATTTTTATAATTTAAAAATTTTCTCTGGTTATTAATTTCCAGTTTTATTCCATTGTGGTCAGAGAAGGCACTTAATATTATTTCATTTTTAAAAAATGTTTTGAGATTACTTTGTAAACTAACATATAGTTTAGCTGTGAGAATAATTTATGTGATGATAAAAATAATGTGTATTCTCAGCCATTTGATAAAATGTTATGTAAATATTTATTATATCCATTTGGCCTATTGTGCAGATTAAGAATGATTCTTTTTGTCAATTTTCCTTCTGAAAGATCTGCACAATGCTGAAAGTGGGGTTTGAAGTTTTCAGTTATTACCGTAGTGGGGTCTATCTCTCTCTTTAATTCAAATAATATTTGCCTTATATAACTGGGTGCTCCAGTGTTAGGTGCATATATATTTAAAATTATTATATCTTTTTTAAAAATTTACATTTTTAATATTATATAGTGATCCACTTTGCCCCTTCTGTTAGTTTTTACCTTGAAATTTATTTCATCTACGTTTAGCTACTCCTGTTCTTCTTTGGTTTCTAATGGCATAAAAAATCTTTTTCCATCTCTTTACTTTTGGTCTGTGTTTTTTTTGGAGGTGAAGTTTGTTTCTTGTAGAATCAGATTAATGGGTCTTCTTTTTTCGTCCATTCAGCCAGTATAAGTTTTTTGGTTGAAGAGTTTAGTCCATTTAAATTCAATGTTATTATTCATAAATAAAAGCTTGCATCTTCCATTTTGTTATTTGTTATTTGTGGTCTTCTCTTCCTTCTTTCTTTCATTCCTGTTTTATTCTAATGAAGATACTTTTTTTCTGGTAATTTAATTTAGTTTCTTGATTTTAATTTTTTGTATCCATTGTAGGTTTTTGGATTGAGGTTACCCTAAAGCTTGCAAATAATATCTTACAACCCATTACTTTAACATGAAATGCTATTTGCATAAACAAACAAGTAAAAAGAAAACTAAGAAAAAACTCACCTTAACTTCGTCCTCTTACTTTTTAACATTTTGTTGTTTCCAGTTATATTTTATAGTGCTGTCTATATCTTGAAAAGTAGTAGTAGTTGTTATTATTTTTGATTCATTTATTGTTTAATCTTTTATATGGTAAAGAGTAGTTTACACACCACAGGAACATTGTTACAATATTCTTTGTTATTCTGTATGCTTACTATTACCAATGAGTGTTTAACCATCAGGTGATTACTTATTGCTCATTAACATTGTGTTCTTGCTCATTAAAATACTCCCTTTAGAATTTATTCTTACAGGAGAGGCCTGGTGTTGATGAAATTCCTCTGCTTTTGTTTGAATAAAAAATCTATCCCCCCTCTATGTTTAAATATTTTTTGCCAGATATAGTATTCTATGGTAATTTTTTATTTTCTTTAGCATTTTAAATATGTCATGCCACTCTATCCTGATCTGTAAGAGTTTCACTGAAAAGTCTTCTGCCAGACATATTGAAGCTCAATTATATGTTTTTAAATTATTTTTATTACTACTTTTATAATTTTGTCTTTATTCTTAACTGTTGGGAGTTTAATAATTAAATGTTTTGAGGTAATGTTCCCTGGGTTAAATATGCTTGGTGTTCTATAATCTTCTTGTACTTGGATATAAACATCTTTCCCTAGGTTTGGGGAAGTTCTGTTGTTATCATCTTGAATACACTTTCTACTCTCATCTCTTTCCCTAACTCCTATTTCAGGCCAATAACTCTTAGATTTTCCCCTTTGAGGCTATTTTCTGGCTCCTGTAGGTGTGCTTTATTGTTTTATATTCTTTTTTCTTTTGTCTCCTTTGATTGTGTATTTTTAAATAGATGTCCTCAAGCTCACTTATTCTTTCTTCTGCTTGATCAAGTCTACTATTAAGACTCTGGTGCATTCTTCAGTGTGTCAATTGCACTTTTCAGCTGCAGAATTTCAGCTTGATTCTTTTTAACTATTCCAGTCTCTTTGTTACATTTGTTTGATATAATTCTGAATTTTTTGTCTGTTTTATCTTGAATTTCTTTGCTTTTCCTCAACTCAGCTATTTAGAATTCTCTGTCTGAAAGGTCACATATCTCTATTTCTCCACAAATTATCTCTTGTGGCTTATTTAGTTTAATGATGAGGCCATGTCTTCCTGGACTGTGTTGACGCTAGTATATGTTCTTCAGTGTGTGAGCATTGAAGAGTTAGGTATTTATTGTAGTCTTCACTTTCTCAGCTTATTTGTACCCTTCTTTTTTGAGTAGGCTTATGAAATATTTGAAATGACATGGGTGTTCTGATCTAACCTGTATCTGGTTTAGGGACACCTCATGCCCAGTAGTGCTGTGATTCTTGCAGACTCACAGTGGTACCATCTTTGTGGTCTTGGAAAAGATCCAGAAGACTTCTCTGGATTATACAACAGAGACTCTTTTTCTCTTTCTTTACTTTCTTTAAAAAAGAGTTCCCCTCTCTGTTCTGAGCTATGTAAATCTGGGAATAGAGTGAAACAAGTACCCCTGTGTCCACCATCACTATGACTGTACTGTGTCAGACCTGAAGCCAACACAGAACTGTTTCTTACTCAAGGTCTGTTGTAACTACTCCCTGGCTACTGTCTATGTTTGTTGAAGACCCTGAGGCTCTACAATCAGCAAGTAGAAAAGCCTGTCAGACATGTGCTTTTTCCTTCAGGGCAGTAAGTTCCCCCTGGTTGGTGGGTGCAGAGTTGCTGCCTGGGAGTTAGGACTAGTGGCAAACACTTTAGAAGTCTGTTCTGTTGTACTTCAGCTGAGCTGGCACTCACACCACAAGATGCAGTTCTTCTAACCCTTCCCTCCCCTTTTCAAAAGCAGAAGAGCCTCATTCTACAGCAACTGCCACCATAGGCAGTACTACAGACTACCTCTAATGTTTCCTTAAAGTCCAAGGGCTATTTAGTTAGCTTGTGATGAATAGTTCCTGGTCTAGGACTTACACTTTAGGGCTTTGGGCTTCCTTCTGGCCCCCAGCAGGTACAAATATGCCATCCAAGAGTCAGGTCTTAGAATCAGGAACCCCAAAAGCCTGCTTGGTGCTCTACATCTCTGTTGCCATGCTGGTACGTAAGGTGCAAGACAAAGTTTCCTTTGCTTTTCTCTGCTATTTTCAAGCACACAGAGTTTTTCCACATAGCCACCATAGGTGATAATGTGCTGAGTCTCACCTGAAGGAAGCAATTCTCAGAGGCTCATTCAAAGTCCTCAACATAGGACCTGGGTATTGCTGCTGGTTCTCTAGTACCCCAGGGTTCTTCAGTTAGCAGGTGGTGAATGCTGCCAGGACTGGGCCCTTTTCTTCAAGGCAGCAGGTTCTCTTCCTACCCAAGGTGTTTATTTTGAGAGCTAAAGCTTGGAAATGGGGCCTCATGACTGTTACCAGTGTCCTATCCTGCTGTAACTAAGTTGATATCCAAAATTCAAGACAAAGTTCTTCCGACTTCTCTCCTCTCCTCAAGCAGAAGATCTGTTTTGGAGTTGTGAGCTGTGCAGCTTGGGCCTAGGGGAGGAGTGATGCCACCACTCTGTTATCGACCCCAGGTGGTGTCTGAGTAGCTTTCATGCTTCTCCAGTCCACTGTCTCTGGACACAGTTCAGCACCAGGACTCACCTACAACTTACAGTTCTTATGGCCTAGACTGCCTTTCAAGTTTATTTGGAGCACAAAGTAATTTAGCCCTCTGTGGTGAAGTTTACCTGAGGTTTGCAGGAACTCAAGTTCAAACTGCTGGGATCCATGATTCCCCCCTGGCTAGGGCTAGTTTAAATGCTCCCTTTGTTGGCTAGTGTTAATTGAGTTTGGTCCAGTTATTTTTTATTTTTTTCTTCTCTAACAGGAAAGCTCTGAATTCAATGCATTACATTTGTTTTGCTATCTCTCCCCTAGCATCCAGAGGTGCTCTCTACATCACACTGCCACTTTCAGGGGGTAGGGAAGGAGTGGCATTGGCAAACTAAGACTACTTTTTTTCTATCTCTTCAGTACCTTTTTCAGGGAGACGAAGTTAAAACTAGGTACTATGAGGGGTTATCTTATTTTTTGTTCATATAAAAGTTTTTTGTGTGCAAATAGTTTTTAAATTAGTGTCTCTGGGGGTGGGCAAAAGGTGGAGCCTTCTATGCTACCATCTTGCTCTGTCTCTTCTGTGATTTTCAAGTGGAAAGTTTTGAAAATTCCTATTAGGTCCATTTGCTTTTTGTTGTTGTTGTTGTCATTTAAAATTGTTAATAGTCACGCTAAAAAAATGGAAAAAGATGAACTTAATATTTTATGTAATCCAGTGTATTTAAAATACCATCATTTTAACATGCAATCAGGTATTTTAAATTATTAATAAGATACTTTGCATTTTTTATTCTAAGTCTTTCATATATGATGTGTATTTTGTTTTTTTAATTTTTTAATTTTTTTTGTCATTCATACATGCGTTTATTCTTTTTTTTTTATTATACTTTAAGTTCTAGGGTACATGTGCACAATGTGCAGGTTTGTTACATATGTATACATGTGCCATGTTGGTGTGCTGCACCCATTAACTCGTCATTTACATTAGGTATATCTCCTAATGCTATCCCTCCCCACTCCCCCCACCCCATGACAGGCCCCGGTGTGTGATGTTCCCCTTCCTGTGTCCAAGTGTTCTCATTGTTCAATTCCCACCTATGAGTGAGAACATGCGGTATTTGGTTTTTTGTCCTTGTGATAGTTTGGAGAGAATGATGGTTTCCAGCTTCATCCATGTCCCTACAAAGGACATGAACTCATCATTTTTTATGGCTGCATAGTATTCCATGGTGTATATATGCCACATTTTCTTAATCCAGTCTATCGTTGTTGGACATTTGGGTTGGTTCCAAGTCTTTGCTATTGTGAATAGTGCCACAATAAACATACGTGTGCATGTGTCTTTATAGCAGCATGGTTTATAATCCTTTGGGTGTATACCCAGTAATGGGATGGCTGGGTCAAATGGTATTTCTAGTTCTAGATCCCTAAGGAATCGCCACACTGACTTCCACAATGGTTGAACTAGTTTACAGTCCCACCAACAGTGTAAAAGTGTTCCTATTTCTCCACATCCTCTCCAGCACCTGTTGTTTCCTGACTTTTTAATGATCGCCATTCTAACTGGTGTGAGATGGTATCTCATTGTGGTTTTGATTTGCATTTCTCTGATGGCCAGTGATGATGAGCATTTTTTCATGTGTTTTTTAGCTGCATAAATGTCTTCTTTTGAGAAGTGTCTGTTCATATCCTTCACCCATTTTTTGATGGGGTTGTTTGTTCTTTTTCTTGTAAGTTTGTTTGAGTTCATTGTAGTTTCTGGATATTAGCCCTTTGTCAGATGAGTAGATTGCAAAAATTTTTTCCCATTCTGTAGGTTGCCTGTTCACTCTGATGGTAGTTTCTTAAAGTCCAACTTAAGTCCAGTTTTTCTTGGTTGATTTTCTTTCTCAGTGATCTAAATAGTGCTGTCAGTGGAGTTTTGAAGTCCCCCACTATTATTGTATGACTATCTGTTTTCTTAGGTTTACTAATGATTGTTTTATGAATCTGGGTGCTCTTTCATTGAGTGCGTATATATTTAGAATTGTTATATCTTCTAGATGAAGTCATCCCTTTATCATCATGTAATAACCTTCTTTGTGTTTTTTATGATTATTAATTTAAAATGTTTTACCTGTTATTATAATAGCATAGCTACTCCTGCTATTTTGGTTTTCATTTGCATGAAATATCTCATTTCACTTCTTTACCTTCAGGCAATAATTATTTTAACCAGTTTCTCGTAAGTTGCATATAGATTGATTTTCTTTTATTTATGCCACCAATCTATATTTTAAATGGAACATTTATTTAATTTGTTTACATTTACAGTTAATATTGATATGTGAAGTTTTGTCCCTGCCATAATATTAATTTGGTATCTAGTTGCTTTGTGTTTTATCTGAGTAATTGATTTATGAGATGTGAGATTTATACTTTTGTGTGTTTTTAGGATGATAAGTATAGATCTTTTGCTTCCACATGTAGAACTCACTTGAACAGTTATTGTATGGCCAGTGTAGTGTTGATGAATTTCCTCAGCATTTGATTATCTGGTAAAGACTATTTCTCTTTCATTCATGTAGATTATTCCAGCAAGATACAAAATTCATAGTTGACAGTATTTTTTTTTAAGTCTGAAAATAAAATCCCAATATCCTTTGGCTTTTAAATCTTCTGTTGAGAAGTTCACTGTTAGTGTCATCGGGTTTTCTTTATAGATGACTAGATGCTTTTCTCTTCCTGATTTTAGGAATTTTTTCCTTCATGTTGACTTTAGATAGTTTGTTGACAATATGTCTTTGTGAATTCCTTCTTGTAATGTATTTACTTGGAATTCCCTGAGCTTTTTATATCAAGATGTCTAAATCTCCTGCAAGATTAGAAATCTTTTATTCAATTATTTCCTCAAAGAGGTTTTTCAAGCCTTTATGATTTTGCTCTCTCAGAAACACCTGTGATTTTCAGGTTTAGGTATTTCATGTAATTTTATTTTTCTCAAAGGCTTTGTTCATTTTTAATATTTTTTCTATATTTTTGTGGGAATAAATTAATTTAAAAGACCTGTCTTCAAGTTATGAGTTTCTTTCTTCTGCTTTTTCTAGTATATTCTTAAGGCTTCAGTATATATTTTTTAATTTTCAGATGTTCTAATTTTTTTGTTTATTTGTTTGTTTTATATTCATTTACTTGGTAAATTTACACATTGATTTTCTGATTACTTTGTATTTGTTTTTGGATTTCTCTTGAATATCAATATCTTAAATTCTTTATGTGGTATTAAAATATTTAATTTTGCTTAGGGTCCATTTCTAGAGAGCTAGTGTGATCCTTTTTTTGTGTGTCATAACACTGGTTTATTAATGCTGCCAGAGTTATTTTGCTTTTTCTTTCTCATCTGTATAAACTACCTCTTCTTATTTTTGAATTTACATCTTTTTTAATTAAATTTTTTCCATTTACGTTTAATTAAAAAGAACAAATTTTATTAAAAAAAGAACAAAGCCTTTGAGACCTATGATATTACATAAAACATCTAAGTCCACGAGTCATAGGTATTCTTGAGGGAGACAAAACAAAAAAGGTTGAAGCACCTTTTCTTTTTTATTTGCCATTAGTTCTGTTTTTTCTGTTTTGTGGTAAAAAATCTGTATAAATTTCTTGGTCATAGATATACTTAGCTTTCTGTTAGTAGTAATGGTGCATTGGGCACACAGTGTTGGGATGGCAGAAGTCTTAGAAGCTTATTTCATTCCCAAGCACTGTGCACTAGTGTAAGCAGATTTTGTATTGAGTTGTGCAGTTTGATCCCCAAGTTAGTAGGTGGTGTTTGCATGTAAGAGCAAAGTTCTTCCTACTTCTCTCCTCTCCTCAAGCAGAAGGACTGTTTTGGAGTTGTGAGCTGTGCAGCTTGGGCTTACAGGAGAAGTGATGCCACCACTCTGTTATCAACCCCAGGTGGTGTCTGAGTAGCTTTCATGCTTCTCCAGTCCACTGTTTCTCCTGCTGTCTAGTACAGAAATGCTGTCACTCTGTGTGTGTACAGCGGCTCCAGCTTTCATGCCATCCTTGGCCTAATGGCTACACTGACAGTGGGGTCACAGTAGACCCTAACAGCCCAAGAAAATCCATCTTTTGTTGTGCCTCTGCCAACTTCCCATGAAAGCAGCCATGATGGTATCAGCCCCAGTGGCAAATGGGGAGGAAAAGTCCCCCTCTCCACACCTGGGCCTGAACATCAAGGCCTATCGGCTGGTAGGATGAAATTACACTCCTCCACTGAAGAGCCAAGCACCACACCAATGTCTCTGCTGGAGGCAGTGCCATCACTCACAGCCCACAAGCAGGAAGTTCTCAGGCATAGGAAGGCGGACACTCTTTATTCTTCTTCCAAGGGGTGCTCCATTGGTGTGTTGCATTCTCCCTTGTTCTAGAAGTACTCCCTGAGGGCTAGACCACTAGGGATACTTCAGCTGCTGTGGGTCCATCCAGCTCCGTGTGACTTCTGCAATCCAAGTGAGTGCTGGAAAATGTTATCAGGGTCTCCTGTTATGCGGAGAAACAAGGGCTGGGGCTCCCTGGGAAGAACTGCGTCCCCAAAACATAAACCCCAAGTATGGTGCCATGCAGCCACCACTCAGGTTAAAGGGAGAGCAAATGACCCAGCATCAGTTAGTAGTATGGTGCCGTGCCCTCAAGGAATCCTCAAATCACCACCCACACTCATGATTGTGTTCACAATGGTCAAAGAGCTCTCCAGCAGTTCAGATACAGTCCACCACAGCGGGAAGGAAACCCAAAGCACTCCTGTCTATGATGAAATACAGAGACCCTCAATTATCCTAGCCAATTTTTACCAGCCTCTTCCTCTTTGTCTGTGTCCCAGCTTCCTCCCGTGAGTTCTCCACTAGGTTTCAGTACTCTTCCCTTGATATTCTATTTGAGTTATAATTACTCATTTGCAACATTGATTCTTGTTTGTGAAGAGATGGGCATCTAATGTTTCTAGTCAGCCATCTTGAACTAGAACTCAGAAGCATATGTCTAATTTATCTTTTTAAGCATTATTTTTGCTTAACCGAAAGTTACAAAATTTCTCCAATTTATTTATTTATTTATTTTTTATTTATTTTGGAGACACCATCTTGCTCTGTTGCCCAGGCTAGAGCGCAGTGACGCCATCTTGGCTCACTGCAAACTCTACCTTTCAGGTTCAAGTGCTTCTTCTGTCTCAGCCTCCTGAATGGCAGGGATTACAGGTGCCCGTCATGACACCTAGTTAATTTTTGGATTTGTAGTAGAGACGGGGTTCTCCATGTTGGCCAGGCTAGTCTCAAACTTCTGACCTCAGGTGATCTGCCCACTTCGACCTCCGAAAGTTCTGGGATTACAGGCGTGAGCCACTGCACTCGGCCAATATTTTAATCTTTAGACTTTATATTTAGTTCTAGTATCTAATACGAATTAATGCTTGTGTACAGTGAAGAGAATGAAGTTTTATTTTTTATGTGAGTAGCTAATTTTTATTGGTATTTTTGGAAAGTTTCTTCATTCTCTACTGTATTGCTTTTTTATTTTAGATGTTATAGATCATGTAGCTTTTTGTTGATGTTATTATATTTTTTTGTCTATCTCATATCCAGAGAGAGGAAGAGATTTGAAGACGTCACCAGTTAGGCAGTAGCAGAGTTGACATTCTGAAGTTAGATGAAAAAACTGTGAAAAAAAATGCCAGCATACACACACTTAAAGATGGCTTAAAGCAAAATAATTTTTATAGAAGTTGTGTGCTCTTTTAATATTGGTAATACATATTTAATAATACAGAATTATGACTACTTTTATAACTGCAATTCATTGAAGTTTTGTTACATGAGAAAATTTTTAAGAAATCTGAGTTGGGCATGTTGTTATAAATGAGGCTAGTATGAAAGTTATTTTTTAATTATAAAGAGGCCATCTATTTCTATTTACTCAGATTATTACAAACTTCACCGATTTCTTACTTCAAGTCAAATATTTTAAAAATATTCTCAATTAAAATTATTTTATTTATTTTAAAAATGTAAAACAAAGGATCATTTATTTGAAAGTTGCTTTTCCATGATATCTCTTTTCATATATACCCTAGATTATGCCTAACATTACAAGGCACCTTGAAAAAGATTAAAAGCCTACATTGAAATCATTCTAGTTGATTTATTTTATAATACTATAATTGGCAAGCAAATAGTGCATGTATTTATGAATTGCAATGTGGTGCTTTTATACAGGTATACTTTGTGAACTGAGAAAATCAGATTAATTAACATTTTAATTCACATACTTATTTCTCTGTATCACTCTTTCACTGTGCTATTCATTTTTCAATTAACAATAATAATATTTTCTATAAACTAGTCCTACATTTAAACGTTTCTTTTTTTTAATTTTTTTATTATTATACTTTAAGTTTTAGGGTACATGTGCACAATGTGCAGGTTTGTTACATATGTATACATGTGCCATGTTGGTGTGCTGCACCCATTAACTCATCATTTAGCATTAGGTATATCTCCTAATGCCATCCATCCCCCCGCCCCCCACCCCACAACAGTCCCCGGTGTGTGATGTTCCCCTTCTTGTGTCCATGTGTTCTCATTGTTCAATTCCCACCTATGAGTGAGAACATGTGGTGTTTGGTTTTTTGTTCTTGCAATAGTTTGCTGAAAATTATGGTTTCCAGTTTCATCCATGTCCCTACAAAAGACATGAACTCATCATTTTTTATGGTTGCATAGTATTCCATGGTGTATATGTGCCACATTTTCTTAATCCACTCTATCATTGTTGGACATTTAGGTTGGTTCCAAGTCTTTGCTATTGTGAATAGTACCACTATAAACATACGTGTGCATGTGTCTTTATAGCAGCATGATTTATTAAACATTTCTTAATCTTCCATTTTTATTTTTCACTTTTTTCCCAAATTTACAAATCGCATCAAACAAATTTTTCTTTAAAAGCGTGTTCTTTTATTTTTAATTTTTGTGGGTACCTAGTAGTGTCATATATTTATGGGGTACATGAGATGTTTTGATAAAGGCTTGCAAAATGAAATAAGCGCATCATAAAGAATGGGGCATCCACTACTACAAGCATTTAGCCATTGAGTTGCAAACAATCCAATTACACTATTTAAGTTATTTTAAAATGTATATTACAGTTATTATTGACGAGAGTCACTCTGTTTTGTTAGCAAATAGTAGGCTTTAATTATTATTTCTAACTATTTTTGTTTCCCATTTACCATCCCTACCTCGCCCCCAGCACCCCACTACACTTTACAGGCTCTGGCAACCATCTTTCTACTTTTTATGTTCATGAGTTCAATTGTTTTTTTAGATTCCACAACAAGTGAGAACATATAATGTTTGTCTTTCTGTGCTGGGCTTATTTCACTTAACATAATGATCTCTAGTTTCCTCCATGTTGTTGCAAATGACTGGATCTCATTCTTTTTTATGGATGAATAGTACTCTGCTGTGTATATGTAACACATTTTATATCCATTCATCTGTTGATAGGCATTTAGGTTGCTTCCAAATCTTACCGATTGTAAACAGTGCTGCAACAAACTTACTTAAGACTGCAGATATCTATTTAATATGATGATGTCCTTTCTTTTAGGTAAATATGCAGCAGTGGGATCGCTGGATGACATGGCAGCTCAATTTTTAGTTTTGAGGAAACTTCAAACTGTTCCCCATATCGGTTGTACTAATTTACATTCCCACCAAAAATGTACACAGGTTCCCTTTTCTCCACATTCTCGCCAGCATTCGTTAATGCCTGTCTTTTGCCTATAAGCCATTTTAACTGCTGTGAGATTATATCTCATTGTAGTTCTGACTTGCATTTCCCTGATGATCAATGATTTTGAGCACCTTTTTATATGCCTGTTTGCCATTCGTATGTCTCATTTTGAGAAATGTCTATTCAAATCTTTTGTCCATATGATTATTAGAATTTTTCCTATAGTTATTTGAGCTTGTTTTATATTATGACTATTAATCCTTGTCAAAGGCTTAGTTTGCAAATATTTATTTCCATTCTGTGAGTTGTCTCTTCACTTTGTTGATGATTTATTTTGCTCTGCAGAAACATTTTAACTTGATATGATCCCATTTGTCCATTTTTGTGTTGGTTGTCTGTGCTTGCAGAATACGGCTCAAGAACCTGGAGATTTTCTCAAAGGTTTTCTTACAGTAGTTTCATGGTTTGAGACCTTAGATTCAAGTCTTTAATTTATTTTGATTTGATTTTTGTATATGGTGAGAGATAGGGGTCTAGTTTTTTTCTTCTGCATGTGGATATTCAGGTTTCTCAGCATCATTTATTGAAGAGACTGTCTTTTCCCCACTACATAGTCTAGGCATCTAGACACCTTTGTAAAAAATGAGTTAAGGTCTGTGGATTTGTTTCTGGGCTCTCAAATTTGTTCCATTTTTCTATGTGCCTTTTTTTATGCCAGCATCATGCTGTTTTTATTATTATAGCTCTGTAGTATAATTTGAAGTAAGGTAATGCGATTCCTCCATTTTTTTTTTCTTTTGCTTAGGATAGCTCTGGTTATTCTGGATTTATTATGGTTTCATATAAATTTTCAGATTTTTTTCCTGTGAAAAATGCCATTGTTATATCGACAGAGATTGCATGAATTAATAGATTGCTTTGGGTACTATGGATATTTTAACAATATTAATTCTTCCAATTCACAAACATGGAATATTTTACCATTTTTTGTTTTCTCCTTCAATTTCTTTCATTAACATTTTATAGTTTTTATTATAGAGATCATCCAATTCTTTGGTTAATTCCTAAATATTTAATTTTATATGTGGTTATTGTAAATGAGTTTACTGTTTTATGCCTTTTTTTAAATTGTTCACTGTTGGCATATAGAGATGCTACAGAATTTTCTGTCTGATTTTTTTATCCTGCCATATTACTCAATATGTTTATCAGTTCTAACAGTTTTTCTGTGGAGTCTAGGTTTTTCCAAGTAAGATAACATATCGCCTTCAAGCAAGGATAATTTGATTTATTCCTTTCCAATTTGGATGCCTTTTATATCTTTCTCTTGTCTGCTTACTCTACCTAGGACTTCCAGTATGATATTGAATAACAGTGTTGACAGTGAAAATCTTTGTTATTTTCCAGATCTTAGAGGAAAGGCTTTTAGTTTTTTCCTATTCAGATGATAATGTGCTGTTTGTCATACATGGCTTTCATTACACTGAGTTATATTCCTTCTATTACCGGTTCTCTGAAGGCTTTTATGATGAAGGGATTTTGAATTTTATCAAATACTTTTTCAGCATCAACTGAAATGATCATGTGAATTTTATTTTTCATTTTGTTGATATGATAGATTACATTGAGTGATTTGCATAATATTCGCTTTATACAGCTGGGTGCTCCAGTGTTAGGTGCATATATATTTAAAACTGTTATATTATCATACCGAATGACCCCATTATCATTACATAGTGACCGTCTTTGTCTTCTCTTATAGTTTTTGTTTTGAAATGTATTTTATCTGAAATAAGTATAGTGACTCCTACACTTTTTAGATTTCATTGGCATGTAATACCTTTTTCTATCCCTTTAGTCTATGTGTGTCTTTATAGGTGAAGTGTTTTCTTGTAGGCAACATTTTGGTTTTTTTATCCATTTATTTGGCCTATGACTTCTGATTTCAGAGTTTAGTCCATTTACATTTAATGTTATTATTGATAAGTAAGCACCTGTTATTTCCACTTTTAAATTTGTTTTCTGGTTGTTTTGTGGTCTTCTCTTTCTTCCTTCTTTCATTCCCATCTTCCTATAGTGAAGATAATTTTCTCTGCTAATATGATTTTGTTTCTTGCTGTTTTGTGTATCTAGTGTACGTTTTTTGGCTTGAGGTTACCACGAGGCTTGCAAATACTATCTTATAACCCCATTATTTTAACCTGATAACAACTTAACAGTATTTGCATAAAGAAACAAACAAGAAAAATAAAACTAATAAAAACTTGCCTTACCTTTGTCCTTTCTCTTTTTAACTTTTTTTGTTTCTATTTATATCTTATTTTGCTTTCTATATCTTGAAAAGTTGTTTTAGTTATTGTTTTTGATTGGTTCATCATTTAATCTTTCTACTTAGGATAGAGTACTTTTCACACCTCAGTTACGATGTTATGTTTTATGTTTTTCTGTGTACTTACTATTCTCAGTAAGTTTTGTACTTTAAGCTGATTATTTATTACTTATCAACGTTTTTTCATTTGAATTGATGCATTTCCTGTACCATTTTTTTGTAAGACAGGTCTGGTGTTGATGAAATCCCTCATCTTTTGTGTGTGTAGGAAAGTGTATTCCTCTATCATATTTGAAGAATACTTTCACAAGATATACTATTCTAAGGTAAAAGATTTTTCCTTCAGCACATTAGATAGTTCATGCCACTTTCTCCTGGCCTGTATGGTTTCCACTGAAATGTCTACTAGCAGACATGTTGGAGCTCTGCTGTATGTTATTTATTTCTTTTTTTTTCATTCTGCTTTTAGGATCCTTTCTTTATCCTTGAATTTAGGGAGTTTATTAAATGCCTTTAGGTAGTCTTCTTTGAGTTAAACCTGCTTGGTGTTCTATAACCTTCTTGTACTTGGACATCGATATCTTCTAGGTTTGGAAAGTTCTCAGTTATTATTGTTTGAATAAACTTTCCACCCCAACTTTTCTCTACCTCCTCTTTAAGGCCAATAAATTTTTGAGGCTATTTTCCAGATCCTGTAAGAATGTTTCATTTTTTAAATTCTTTTCTTTTTTTATCTGATTGTATATTTTCAAATAGGCTGTTTTCAAGCTTAATAATTTTTTCTTCTGCTTGTTCCATTCTGGTTTTAAAGGACTCTGATGCATTCTTCAGTATGCCAATTGCATTTTTCAATTACAGAAATTCTTCTTGATACATTTTAATTATTTCAATGTGTTTGATCAATTTATCTGACAGATCAATTTATCTGAATTCCTGCTTTGTGTTATCTTGAATTCCTTTGGGTTTCCTCAATACTGCTATTTTGAAGTCTCTGTCTGAAAGGTCACATATTTCTATTTACTCCAGAATTCATTCTTAGTGCTCTGTGTATTTCATTTGGTAAGGTCTTGTTTTACTGGATCATATTGATGTTAGTAGATGGGCTTTGGTATCTAGGCATTTAAGAGTTAGGTATTTATCATAGTGTTCCCTGTCTAGGCTTATTTGTAGTCATATTTAAAAAGGTTTTTGAGATATTTTAAAGGACTTGGGCATTGTAATGTAAGGTCTTATTGCTTTAGAGTACACTCCAAGCCCAGTAACACTGTGGTTCTTGCAGTCTTGTGGAAGTACTACCTTGATGATCTTAGAGAAGATTCAGGAGATTTATCTGCACTATGAGGCAGAGATTCTTGTTCTTTCCCCTTACTTTCTGCCAAACATACAGATTCTGTCTGTGTGTTCTGAACCACCTAAAGTTGGGGGTGGAGTGACTTAGTCACCTATTTGGCCACCACCACTATGACTGCATTGGGTCAGACCTGAAGATAGCACCACACTGAGTCTTGCCAAAGGCCTGCTGTTACCACTCCGTGGTTACTGCTTATGTTTGTTCAAGGTCCTTGGGCTCTACAATAAACATGTGGCAAAGTCAGCTAGGCTTGTGTCCTTCTCTTCAGGGTGATGAGGTCCCGCAGTCTCCAGGTTGCTTCAGAAGTATCATCTGGGAGACGGGGACTAGAGTCAAACACCTTAGAAATCTACCTTGCATTCTATTGGATTGGAGCTAAGCTGGCACTCAAACCACAAGACACAGTCCTAGTCACTCTTCCCTCCCATTTACACAAGCAGAGGAACCTCAAACTGTAGCCACTGCCACCCCGGGCCATGTGAAGTACTGCCAGACTCTCACTGGTGTTTCCTTAAGGTCCAGGGTCTCTTAAGTCAGCTTGAGGTAAATGCTGCCGGGCCTGAGACTCACCGTTCAGGGCACTGGGTTTCCCTCTGGCCCAGGGAAAGTCAAGAAATCCCATTCAAGAGTTAAGTCCTGGAATCAGGGACCCCAAGATCCTGCTTGGTGCTTTAGCCCCCTGTGGTGGTATTGGTACCTAAAGTGTAAGACACATTCCCCTTTACTTTTTCCTCTACTTTTCTCAAGCAGATGGAGTTTTGCCCCATAGCCAACACAGTTGGTAATGTGTTATTTCTAATCTGAAGCCAGAAAGCCTCAGAGGCTCATCAAAGCCCTGGATGTAGCACCTGAGTATCGCTGCAGCTTATTCAGGACCAAAGGGTTCTTCAATCTTCAGGTGATAAATATGGCAGAACTGGCTCATTTCCTTCAAGGCTGCAAGTTCTCTTCTGGCTCAGGATGTGTCCAGAAATGTTGTCTGGGAGCTAGGGCCTGGAATGGGGGTCTCATGACTCTCACCAGTGCCCTATCCTTCTATGACAGTGCTGGTATCCAAGATGTAAAACAAAGTTCTCCCCATTCTTTTCTCTCATCTCCTTGTTTGGATCTGTGAGCTGTTCAGCCTGTGGTTAGGGGAGGGGTAATGCCAACACTCCCTTGGCATCCTCAGCTGGTGTCTCAGTATGTCACGTGACCCCCTATTCCATTGTCTCAGGGCTTAGTTCAGCCCTAAGACTTGCCTACGATTTTCAGTCTTTATGTGCTAGGCTGCCTTTCAAGTTTACTTAGAGACCGAGAACACTTTGGCCCTCCATGGTGAGGGCTGTGAATACTCAAGTTAGGACCACTGGGATTAGCAATTCCCCTCTGGGTAGGGCTGGTTTAAATGCTGCCTCCAAGGGTGGGCATCAGCTGAGTTTGGTCTGGTTTTTCTTTTTGTTCTAAATAAACAGAACTGAGTTCAATGCCTCAGAATTGCTATGTTTTCCCTTCCCCAGTACCCAGAGATGCTCAGTGCCCCACATCACCACTTCTGGGGCTGGGGGAGGGGTGAAGTCAATGATTTTAGAAGCTTTTTTTGTCTCTTCAGTGCCTTTTTCAGTGATATGAAGTTAAAACCAAGTACTATGAGTGCTCACCTGATTTTTGGTTCTTATGAAGATGTTGTTTCTTTGTAGGTAGTTGTTAACTTGGTGTCCTTGTAAGGGGGACAATTGGTGGAGTTTTCTATTTCAGTACCTTGCTTCACCTCCCACTCCAAGCCAAATTTTCTTATCACTGAAATATTTTTTGAAAAGCATTAGTCATCTAAGACATTTCTTAGATGATTAAATGAGAGTTACCATAATACAATTTTGCATGGACTTTTGATGGATATTTGTAAATGTATTGTTTTCTCAACTAATATGTCAACTCAGAGATCATTATTTGTACTAATTATTTTTTCTAGGGCCTTGTGGATTAAATATGGTTCACTGGAGTGGAAGAAAAATGGGAGAAAAATTTCTACAAGAAAAGAACTGTAGAGTGTTATAATAAAAATGTGTTTGTGCATTTGAATATTATGCGAGGCTAGAAACTGAAAACATTCATAATTACTTCACTTTTTCTCAAAAACTATCTGGTCACCTATATTCTCATTGCTACTGGTAATGTTTGAGGGTGGAGACTTAAATTTATCTTTCTTTACTTTCTTATACAATTATAGTCCATTTTATCTAAGAATTGTTCGGCAGAAGTTTTAAATTTATCTACTTTTGCCTAACGTTTTCTTTTTCTTTTTGTCTATCTTTCTATCTATCTGTCTATCATCAATTTATTATCACTCTATTATCTATCTACCCATTTAAAGCCTTTTCCATCTTAAATTAGAACATGTTCCTGAAAGAGTAGAGGAGCTATGGAATGTTATTCTGCTTTTCTTCTGACATGGGATACTAATAATCTAACTGCTTAATTAATGCTGCTTAATTTTGAACATTATGATATTTGTAGTGATTCACAATGCCACTTTTTTCAACTTTATTGAAGTATAATAGACAAATTAAAATGGTATATTTTTAAGGTGTAAAATTTGATGTTTTGATGTATGCATATATTATAAAAAAAAAGCCACAACCAATTAAGCTAATTGACATATTAATCACCTTACATAGTTGCTATTTTATCTTTTATAAGACTACATTTAAATCTTTGTAGTTGTTTTTACATTTTATTCATATTAAAGAATAATAATTGTATATATTTATGGGGTACAATGTGATGCATAGATACAGGTATACATTGTGGATTGAACAAATTAGGTTAATTAATATATCTGTCAATTCTCACATTTATTTTTGTTAAGAACATTTAAAATCCCCCTTTTTGCAATTATAAATAGAAAATTCATTATTATTAATTGTAATTACTTGGTATGCATTAGATCACCATAACTTTTTTCTCTTATCTAATTGAAATTTTGTACCTTTTAACCAACATTTTCCTTTCTCCATGCACTCCTGCCCTAGTTTTTGGTAGTAACCATTTTACCCCTTACTTGTGTAAGCTCAAATTTTTGCTTGCACATATAAGTGAGAGCATGTAATATTTGTTTATCTGTACATGACTTATTTCATTCAGTATAAATGTCCTCTAGCTTTATTCATGTTGTTGCAAATTGCAGAATTTTATTTTTTCTAAAGATTGAACAGTATTCCATTATACACACACACACACACAAAACATTTAAACAATCTCTTTATTTGTTGAGAGGCACTTAGGTTGCTTGCAAATCTTGGCTATAATGAAAAATGTTTCAATAAATATGGGAATGTAGACATCTATTTGACATTCTAGTCACATTTTGTATTCAGTTTTTGTTCTATATTTTATTTTTTAGCACTGTAATAATTAATATTCTTAAACATACATCTTTGCTACTTCAATATTTCCTTAAAACAAATTTATTGTAGTAAAATTTGGGGGACAAAATCTTATCCACATTTTAATTTCTGATATACAATGCCATACTGATGTCTATAAATGTGTCATAAATGTGCTCTTCCATATGTTAAGTGAGGATGTCAAGTTAACTGCACTTATTAGGTTATAGTAATTTATGTAATCAAGTTATGTAATAGAGAAGTTAAATTTTCTTTCTCATAATGGGCTGGAAAGCTTTTTTTTTCCACTAGTTAAAACAAGTTGAGGCATAACTGGAAAACTATTTTTACAAGAGTAATTGTAGTATAGGCTTTGAAGTTGAACATATCTGGATTTATATTAGCCCCATTGTTTGCTAACGTTGATTTCAGGGAAATAACACAATTTTTCAAAATTACAATGTATTTATTTTAAAAGATGGTGTATATATAATAGATTTTTCATGTGGTTTTTAGTGACTGCTAAATCAGAAAGTTTGTAAAATTTTATTTTATTTGTATTTATTTATTTTTGAGACAGGGTCTCAGTCTGTTGCCTGAGCTGGAGTGCAGTGGCACAATCATGGCTCACAGTAGTCTCAGTATCTTGGGCTCAAATGATCTTACTGCCACAGTCTCCAGAATAACTGGGATTTCAGGTGTGTACCACCACACTTGACTATTTTTTTGTTTAATTTTTAGTAGAAATTAGTTCTCACTACGTTGCCCAAGCTGGTCGTGAACTCCTGGGCTCAAGCAATTCACCTGCCTCAGTCTCCCAAAGTGCTGAGATTAGAGGCATAAGCCAACACACCCAGCAGTTTGTAAAATTTTAAAAGAAATAAACACATTAAGCTCTCAGTCCATAAATGCTTTACTGTTGTTCATCTTCTAAAATTATATTAGTATCAGGATCCCCAGTTCCCCTATTTGACAAACTTGCATTAGTTAAATTAGTGATTGTCAAGATGTTCAACGGATTATACATAAGTTACCAGAATTATTTAGGCACAATTATTTTATGTGATTTAGATACTTCTGCCTACCAACTGATTGGCTAATAGACTATTTGACAAATGTTGTAAAGATCACAGATACAACATTTAATATAAGTAATGTCTTGCTTTGTGCATATAAAGCTTAACTTTTTTTTTTTTTGTCTTAAACAGCAGAAATTTACTGTCTTGCAGTTCTGGAAGCTGGACATTTGAGATAAAGGTGCAGCAGGGTTGGCTCCTTACAAGGACTATGAAGGGGAAATTCATGCCTCTCTCCTAGATTCGTTGGCTTCTTCTGCATCATTCCAATCTCTGCCTTCCTCTTCACAGGGTGTTCTTCCAGTTTGGATGTGGTAAGGAAAAATACAAATTTAAAATAAGAAATTTATTCTCCATGTTGAAATAAAGTAAGAGATTTCCCTCCCTTCCTGTTTATTTATTTATTTATTTATTTATTTATTATACTTTAAGTTTTAGGGTACATATGCACATTGTGCAGGTTAGTTACATACGTATACATGTGCCATGCTGGTGTGCTGCACCCATTAACTCGTCATCTAGCATTAGGTATATCTCCCAATGCTATCCCTCCCCCCTCCCCCCACCACACAACAGTCTCCAGAGTGTGATGTTCCCCTTCCTGTGTCCATGTGATCTCATTGTTCAATTCCCACCTATGAGTGAGAATATGCGGTGTTTGGTTTTTTGTTCTTGCGATAGTTTACTGAGAATGATGATTTCCAATTTCATCCATGTCCCTACAAAGGACATGAACTCATCATTTTTTATGGCTGCATAGTATTCCATGGTGTATATGTGCCACATTTTCTTAATCCAGTCTATCATTGTTGGACATTTGGGTTGGTTCCAAGTCTTTGCTATTGTGAATAATGCCGCAATAAACATACATGTGCATGTGTCATTATAGCAGCATGATTTATAGTCCTTTGGGTATATACCCAGTAATGGGATGGCTGGGTCAAATGGTATTTCTAGTTCTAGATCCCTGAGGAATCGCCACACTGACTTCCACAATGGTTGAACTAGTTTACAGTCCCACCAACAGTGTAAAAGTGTTCCTATTTCTCCACATCCTCTCCAGCACCTGCTGTTTCCTGACTTTTTAATGATTGCCATTCTAACTGGTGTGAGATGGTATCTCATTGTGGTTTTGATTTTACCCTTAAAACCTGAAGCTTCTTCCCTTGGGTGTCATAACCTATTTATTGCTCATAAAGTTTAGACCAATGGCTGCAATGTTTCCAGCACGGGGATAAGTAAATATACACAAAATATTGTTTTCTATTTTAAAAGATAATGGCACTTTCATACATATAAATGCCAAGTAAAATCTTTAACTCAAATATTTGAGTTCATTCTTCCGTGAAGAACCATTTTTATACTGCCTAACTCAAAAAAGTTCTGTTCTAACCTAATAATGACAGTTCTGATAATATCTACAATAAATTTCAGAAGCATTCAATTACACAGGTTATTTCACTTTTAGGACATGGATGAAGCTGGAAACCATCATTCTGAGCAAACTATCAATCACAAGGACAGAAAACCAAACACCACATATTCTCACTCATAGGTGGGAATTGAACAATGAGAACACTTGGACACAGAGTGGGGAACATCACACACCGGGGCCTGTCGTGGGGTGGAGGGAGTGGGGAGGGATAGCCTTAGGAGACATACCTAATATAAATGAGGAGTTAATAGGTGCAGCACACCAACATGGCACATGTATACATACGTAACAAACCTGCACGTTGTGCACATGTACCCTAGAACTTAAAGTATAAGAAAAAAATAAAATAAAATAAAATAATCAATATATATCATGTTACTATAAAATAAAGCATTACATAATCTCAAAGATGTATCTAAATGCTAGATTTTTAAAATGCCAATTAAATATGTATATTAATTATACCTGGGCAATCAATTTTATATTTGGGCATTAGTTAATCAAAACTCTGTTCAGGACTTGCAAAATGTCCAGAAATAAATGCTGGGTGTTAAGGGGTGAATACAAAATAGAAACATAAGTAGTCATTGTGCCACAAAGAAGGAAACAACACACTCCAGGACTTACTTGAGGGTGGAGAATAGGAGGAGGGAGAAGGTAAAATGAAAAAAAATAACTACCTATCAGTTACTATGCTTATCACCTGGGTGATGAAATGATCTGTATACCAAATCCTTGTGACATGCAATTTACCTACATAACAAACTTGCACCTGTACCTCTGAACCTAAAATAATAGTTTAAAATGATAAGTAGTCATTGTCCCTAAAGCATGTATAGTTTGCTTAGAAAGACATCACATATGAAAATGGAGCAAATCGAGCAGTTAGAGTTGAATTCCAAACACTTACTATGTGTTGTGGTATGGAAACTATATGTAATAAGAACTCATAAAAATGTAAGTGTATTTTGGACCAGAGTAATTCCGGGAAGACTTTGGAGAAGAAAAAGTACCTCAACTGGACCTTAAAATATTATGTGTTATAAATATTGACCGTTGGAGAAACATACTTATTCCAAAACACAATGTGAATAACGGTATAGAGGTAGTAACTAACATGGAATGTATGAGGAAGTTTGTCTTACAAGATAGGTGCCCTTGCTTTGGGGTGAGTCTGAGATAAGGTTATATAGAAATGATGGAATGAGAAGATTGTGGACCTTAAAAGAAGAACAAATATTCTGAATTCTATTTTAAATATAATAGAGACCTGCTATAGAAAATTGTGGGCCTTAAAAGAAGCACAAATATTCTGAATTCTATTTTAAATATAATAGAGACCTGCCATAGATTCTTGGATGAAGAAAATACTCAGGGAGAATGTGGTTTTAGTAAAACTATGTTAGCAGTTAAGGTTAGAGCAAAGTTCAGGAAAGCCATATCTTATACCAGATTTATTGCTGTGGTGTGCAGTGTTCTATCAGCTTTTTGAACATTAATGATCTATCTTAAGCTTTAGCACAGATGGTAACTAAATTGGATTTTATATCATTCAAATATTTGGGGAAGATGGTGAGTGATATTATTTAGTTGTTATTTCGATCTTTCTGTGGATTATTATTCCTATCATATACTAGAGGTATTGGACTACAGATATTTATTCAGTATTTTCTTGGAAGATAGGATGAGTCATACATTTTCACTTTGATAATATCTAAAATACTACCTTTTCTATCCCTATAAGACAATGTTAATTATAGAAATACAATATAAATACAATAATATATTTTAAGAGCTTGGGTGATCTATACAAATATTTTACTTATTGTGACCATCTGGAAAAAATGCAGTCTACGCTGTGGCAAACAAAATAATTCTGAAAACATAATTAAAAACAGGAGGTGTTAACTCCTGGGAACTTTATATTACATGCATGAGCAGTTCCCAGAACAATAGAAAACTAAGTGATGTTATATAGGCAAACACTCTTATGTAAGGCAGATGTTGGCTATCCTACCACCCACTGGAAATGAAAAGCTAGCTTATTTGTTTGTGTCCAAATGACTGTTTGTTTGTGGAATTAGTCTTTCCAGAAGATATATATATATACACACACATATGCATATATTTTCTTATGTGTATACACACACATACACACACACACACACACGAGAAAGAAAGACAGATTAAGAGAGACAGAAAGATAAATGGAGAGAGAGAGAGAAAGAGAGAGAGAAAGAAATAATCATAAGGCAGTTTCTGTAGTACTTTAGTTATTGATGGTTTTAAAATGTATCAGTACAAAATGAGTATAATAAAATAGCAGCAGTAGCACTGTGGGGTGGGGTGACAAGCTACAGCTCCAAAGCTATCTAAACAGAATTTAATAAATAAAATATTTTACAAAAGAAAATGTGCATTGTTAACATTGCAAGAACTGCAAAGCCAGTAACCATGGCATGTTGTAGAAAATAGATTTGCCAGTTTCTGGAAATTTGGCTGAAATTTAGTTTATTCTCCACTTTATTTTCCTTTTTTGCATTTCAAGAAACAAATTTGGCCCTTGACAGCAACAGGACTGAATCATAATTTGTGCCACTCTATGGCTGAATTCCAAATGGCTCAGGCGCATGGCAACAGGAGTGGTGGCAAGGACTTTTTCTTGGGATTTTGGGCACCACTCCTTGCAGGAGAGTTTAGTATACTACATGTGGGAACAATCAGAGGCAGACAAAGCAGCTACAGTCCTCAAGGGAGAGCAGCAATAAGAATTGGGTTAAACTGAAAGTCTTTGCCAAGAGCTTGGTTTTAAAAAATGGCATTGTTGAAACAATTTTTTTTTATAAAAGAATAAGCATGGGTTTGGGGAAATAAGTGGATGAGCTCCAGTTTTTGGTGCAGAAAATTATGATGGAGTACCTGGAAGCAATTACAAGTTCCGTATGGTGCCAGGGGAGTAGACTGTGGAGATTGTTTCAGTCTCTTTTCACGTGGTGTTATCTCATAAACATATGCTATTGCATGTTCAGAGGATGTAGAAATAATTTACTGACTTGTTCAACATTTGTTCAGTGGTTTTACATGTCAATCAGCAATTAACAAAATATTAAGAGCTTACTTTGAACATTGCACTGTGCCAAGGAATAAGGGATTTCCATGTGGCTGATGATATAGTCCTTACATTCAAGAACTGACCAGTAATTAAAGACATAGGAAATATGTATGCACTGCAAGGCTGTGAAATGCAGCCAAAACAAAAATACATAAAATAAACTGCTACAGATTTCCAAATAGGAACAAAGTAATTATAGAAGATTCAAGTAGAAAATGAGATTAGTGCGAGACTATAAATGATAGGTTGGTAATATATGAGAAGAAAAGACAAGTCTAATCAACAACAGTAGATTCCAGAAGGTAGACCACAGAAACAAATTTTTTTTAATTTATGAAATGTAGAGTTTTGTCTTCCAGAAATTAAACTGAGAGACATGGGTGGGTCATTGAACAGTTGAGTTATGTGATGACATATATGAAGAATATTACAGCATAGAGGACAAAATGGGGTGAGGAGGGAAATAAGAAATTTGTACACAGTCCAATGTAAAGGTGGATATTACAGTGGTCCAAGCATGTGACAAGGAAGATCTAGGCCAGAGTTATGAGAGAAAATTTAGGAAAAGACCAAGATAACAGACATTGAATGAAGAGGCATAATCTTATTCCTATAAAACAGTGTTACCTTTAGAGTCAAGAAATCTATCTTTTAATCCAACTTTATTGTAACATATACAAATCTGGAAACATATCTGAAACTCATTAGAGCATAGTTTTCTTATATAGAAGATAAAGGAGGTTAATACAATTATGTCTAAAAATTTTCCCTTTGTAGCTCCAAAATTCTATGATTCTAGGAGTATATGGGAGTTAAATTGAGAAGCTGAAGGAAGGAAAGATGTAATTAAAAAAATAATTGTGAAATATTGAATATGAATAATTAAAGTCTGAGTGTAATATTAAGCATGATAGGAATTTAGAGGAACTGAGTGATATAATAGAAAAGTATTAAGTTTACCTTTGGGTAAGCTAAGTAAAATGTAATAGCAATATTAAAGTGATTAAAAATATGAAGTGTTAGGAAATACAGGTGTACAGTTTGACAGAAATGCCAGGAAGAAAAATCCATAGAAGCAGTCCTTGTTATGGATGTTAGTATGGGATTATGAAATTAACCATGCAAGCTGAAAACACAAAATGTCATCTTACTAATCAATAGAGAAATTTCAGTTGTTCTGGGATCTTTATAAATTTGTATTAAAACAATTACATTAGCAAGGTGATGGACTAGAAAGCTCCAGGCCCTTACCTCTTCATGGGAACATCAGGTAAACAACAGACTGACTAAAATAGCTTTGAGAGAGCTCTAGCAATAAGTAAAAAATCTGCAGCAATGAAGCAAATGTTGAATCAACATAAAACCACGCTCAAAATGATGGAAAACTTGTTGAAATTTTTGTTCAAACTTACCTCACCCCTTCCCTGAAACTGAGTCGAAGGAGGGAAGCCACTCTACTGCTGATTTTTCCTTTGAGATAAAAATAATAGATTGGAACTGCTGGCAACTTTCTGACCTGTTTAAGTACTGCTGAGAGACTGGTTTCCATCCCAACTGATGACTTCAGATGAGAATAGCTGCATAGCTTGAAATAGGTCAGATATCAAGCTGTAAAGGACACAGAAATCAGGAGTGAGTGCCACAGCATGTGAAGGCTGCAGAAATATTGCAGATGCACGCAGGTCTGGGGGCAAAAGATAACATGGTGATAAATACCATAGAACATAAATCACCCCAAGAAGAAGCAAGCATAAGACTTTTAGGAAATTAAGGCATTTAACAATAACCAAGTATACAGGAGAATTAGCATATTCAAAGGAACAAAATAAATCTCTAGAAATTTACACTAAATAAACACAGGCTTTGGACCTAAAAAACAAAGATGTGAAAACAGAAGTTTAAAATATGCTCAAAGAGCTAAAAATTAACACAGAAAGAAAACTAAAAGAAAACAAAAAATAATATGTAAATGAAACTATTAGCAGAGACCGAAATTATTTTTAAATTCTGAAACTGAAGTATATGATAACTAAGTTAAAAACTTTAGAAGTTCAGCAGCAGAATTGAACTCGAATAAAAAATAATCAGCAAATTTAAAGACTGGTAATTTTACTGTCACAAGAATTAAAAAAAAAAAAGCCAAAGGATAAAAGAGGAGAAAAAAGTAAAAACAAGTGAACAGAGCCTAAGAGACTAATGATATACCAGAAAATAGAATAATATATTCATTATGAAAATTCTATAAAAATAAAAAGAGAAAGGGACAAAAAGGTTATTTGAAGAAATATTGGCCAACTTCCCAGTTTGATGAATGACATGGATGTACAAATACAGGAAGCTAAAGAACCTCAACAGAATGAATTAAATGAGAACTACACTGAGATAAGTAATAATTTCACTGTATAAAGACAAGCAAAAAGAATTATATTGAAAGCAGCAAAAGAAAAATGAATCATCAAATACAAAGAATCCTCGATAAGATTAACAGTGGATATCTTAACAGAAACTTTTGAGGTCAGAGGCAATGAGATGACAAATTTTGAGTGCTAAAAATACCCTATATCATCTAAAAATTCTATGTCTAGGAAAACAATTCTTCAAATATAAGGGGGAAATTAAGGCTTTCTGTATAAGCAGAAGCTCAGAGAGTGTATTACCATATGTCCATCATACATAAATGCTAAAAGGAGCCCTTAAAGTTGAAATGAAAGGATATACACAGAAACTAAAAGCCATATCAAAATATAAAATCACCTAATAAAGGAAAATGCATTAACAAATATAAAAAGTATTATTTTTATTTTCTTGCATAACTACTTCTAATTCTTTTATATATTTACAATAAAAAGCATAAAATATCACTGTTACCCTGTGTTGCATTTCTATAAAGGAATAGCTGAGGCTGGGTAATTTATTTAAAAAAAAAGATTTAACTGGATCATGGTTCTGCAGGCTTTACAGCATAGAACCAGCATCTGTTTGGCTTCTGCTGAGGCCTCTAGAATCTTTTACTCATGGCAGAAGGCAAAAGGGATCAGGCATGTCACATGGTGAGAGTAGGAGGAAGAGAGAGGAGAGAGGCACTAAACTCTTTTTTTTTAATATATTTATTTATTTGTTTTTTATTATACTTTAAGTTTTAGGGTACATGTGCACATTGTGCAGGTTAGTTACCTATGTATACATGTGCCATGCTGGTGTGCTGCACCCACTAACTCGTCATCTAGCATTAGGTATATCTCCCAATGCTATCCCTCCCCCCTCCCCCCACCCCACAACAGTCCCCAGAGTGTGATGTTCCCTTTCCTGTGTCCATGTGATCTCATTGTTCAATTCTTTTAACAACAAAATCTCATGTGAGCCCATTACTAAGGGTAGGGCATGAAGCTATTCATGAGGAATTTGAACCTATGACCCAAATACCTCCTACAAGGTCTCACCTCCAACACTGACGATTACATTATAACATGGGATTTGGAAGAGGCACCCACTTAAACCATATAAAATTTTATGTTAATTGGTATATGATAAATAAATATACAATTTATGACAATAAAATAAACTTGAAGGTTTGATAAAAAGGTAGAAATTTTCTAAAACAGGAGCACCCAGATTCATAAAGCAAGTTCTTAGCTACCTGTAAAAAGACTTAGATAACCACACAATATAGTGGTAGATTTCAACATACCACTGACACTATTAGACAGATCATTGAGGCAGAAAACTAACAAGAACCTGAACTTGACAACTGGCCAAATGTGGCTAACAGACATCTATAGAATTCTCCACACAAAAACAACAAAACATACTTTTTTTCTCATTGGCACATGGTACATATTCTAAAATTGACTACACAGTTTTTCATAAAACAAATCTCAGAAAATTTAAAGAAAGCTGAAATTATGCCAAACACATTATCAGGCCACAGTGCACTACAAATAGAAATCAATAAGAAGGAAATTGCTCAAAACCATACAATTACATGAAAGGTAAACAACTTATGCTTGACTGACTTTTGAATAAATAAGAAAATCAAGGCAAAAACTTATAAATTCTTTGAAACTAATAAGAACAAAGATACACCATACTAGACTCTTTGGGACACAGTTAAAGCAGTGTTAAGAGGAAAGTTTATAGTACTAAAAATCTTCTATTGGCAGTCACAAAATGCAAAATACTGCACAATTTCAATTCCACCTATATGAGTCATCTGGAGTAATCAAACTAATAGAAACAGAAACTAGAATTGTGGTTTCCAGCGGCTGAGGGAGCGAGAGAAATGGGTAATTTTTGTTTAGTTTCAATCAAGTTTCAGTTTTGCAAATTGAAATGTTCTGAACATTGTGCAACAATGTTTATATGCTTAACAACAATGATGTGTAAACTTAGTTAAGATAAATTTTGTTATGCATTTTTTATCATAGCATAAAATTTAAGTATCTGTTTTAAAAACTAGAGGTGTTGTATGCAATTAATATTAATTTGGTATCAGTTAATAATATATTATGATTATTTTTACAATGTTATATGTAATCATCATGGTAAACACAAGTAAAATTTTATATATATATATATATGATGAGAGTAAAATGTGTCATTATGAGCTATCAACTACAAATATAAGAATATAGAATGAAAAAAAGGAGGTAAGAATGGCTATGACATATATAAAAGAAATAACAGAATGACAATACTAAGTCTTTCCTTATCAGTAATTATTTTTAAAATATTTAAAAAAATTACTCCTGAAGCAAAAGTCATAAATGAGCAGATGGTTTAAAATAATAACATAATAATAATAAACAAAATCCAACTATATAGAATCTATAAGAACTTAGTTTAGATGTAAGGACACAGACATAAGGATTGAAAAAATATATAACATGCAAATAGTAACTAAAAGAGAGCAGGAGGGTGCTACATTAATATTAGACAAAGTATACTTTCAGTATAAAAAGTCTCTCATAAGAGATAAGAAAGGATATTATATTTAATAAAGGGATCAATTCACTATAAAGGTAAAATCATCATAAACATATACATACAATTATTATTTCCCAAACATATGAAGCAAATATTACAGAATGGAAGGGAGAAATAGACACTGTAAAATAACAGTCTTCATTATTTCACATTCACTAATAAACAGAAAAATCAGACAGAAGAAAAATAAGAAAATAGAAGACTTGAACAACACTAAAGAACAATTGCATCTAACATACATATAGCAAACAAACACTCCACCAAACAGTAGCACAACTATTGAGAAAAGGATTCCAATAAAAAATAAATTTATAAAATTTAAAAGAAGATTCAAAATACTGATCTTAAAGAAATTCAGTCAGATAAAAAATACTGAAAAATATTATTGATAAAAATAATCAGGATGTGAATAAAAATTTTACCAAAGAGATATATATTTTAGAACCCCAAACAGATTTTGGAATGGAAAACTGACTTCACTGAATAAAATATAAAACACATTGAAAAACTTCAATAGAATAAATTAAGAAGAAGTTAAACTTACAAAACTTGAAGCCATGTCTTCTGAGATAACCCACTCAGAACAAAAAATTAAAACATATGAGCAGTATGTTGAGACATATGGTATACCATAAAGTGACCAAATATTCAAGATATCAGTGTCACAGAAAGCAAAGAGAGGGAGAAAAAAAAGTGTTAGATTACCTATTTAAAAAAATAATAGATGAAAACCACCCAAATCTAGGCAAGAGATTTCAACATCCAGATACAGGAGGCTCAGAGATCCCCAAACAAATAAAATGGAAAAATGTCTTCTTTATGACACACTACACAAAAACTGTCTAATGTCAAAGACAAACAAATAATTGTAAAAACAACAAGGGAAAAGCACTGTGACCTATAAAGGGAGCCCCATCAGACTAACAGCAAATTTTCCATCAGAAATATTACAGGCCTAAGGAGAATGGAATGATATACTCAAAGTGATCAAAGCAAAAAAACTGTCACCTAAAGATACTATACCCAGAAAAAATTATCCATCATAAATTTTATAAAGTAGAAGTTATATCACAATGTCTAGACCAGCCATACAAGTTAATTCACAATCTCAAGACAAGCCATACAAGAATTTCTCAAGGTACAACTAAACCTGGAAGTGAAAATATGACATTTATTATCACAGAAACAAAAGTATAAAACTCACTGGTAAGGCAAACAACTGACCAAGAGAAAAGACTCAAATTATACCACTACAAAAAAAAAAAAAAACACTAAACCACAATAACAAACAGTAAGAGAAAGAAAACGAATAAAGAGTGTACAAAACAACCAGAAAACAATTACCAATGCGATAGAAATAACACCTCAAATATCAATAGCAACACTGAAAGTAAATTTACTAAATCATCCACTTAAAATATTAAGACTGGCTGAATGATAGTAAAAGAATACATAAACTAAATATATTCTACATACAAGATACACGTTACCTTCAAGGCACATATAGACTGAAAGTAAAGTTATGAAAAAAAAGATATTGTAGCTAAACAGAAATGAAAAGCAAGCAGGAGTAGTTATTCTTATATTAGATAAAACAGACTTTAAGTCAAAAACTGTAAACCAAACAATGTCATTGTATAATTGTAAAATGACCAAGGTATCCAAGTGATACAAAAATTCTCTCTATATATTCATTCATCACTGGATCAGCCAAATTTATTATCTAACAACTGCAGAATAGAGTCTTTTCAGCAGCACAACAAACATACTGTAGGATAGACCATATGTTAGGCCAAAAACAAATTTCAAGAAATTTTTAAACATCTAAATCATATCAAGTCTTCTCAGACTACATTGAAATAAAGCTAGAAATAAATAATAAGAGAAACTTTGGAAAATATAAAAATACATGGAAAATAAACCAAATACTTCTAAAGATTATTGGGTCATGTAGAAATAAAGATAAAAATTTTTTAACAATGGATTGGACATGGTGGCTCATGCCTGTAACCCCAGAACTCTTGGAGGTTGCGGTGGGTGGTTCACTTGAACCCAGGAGTTCAAGACATCCCTGAGTAAATGGCAAAACCCTGTCTCTACAAAAAGTACAAAGATTAGCTGTGTGTATTGGTGCATACCTGTAGTCCAAGCTATTTGACAGACTGAGGTGGGAGAAAGGCTTGAACCCAATAGGTTTAGGCTACTGTGAGCTGTGATTGCACCACTGTACTCCATCCTGGAGGAGAGGGTGAGATGCTGTCTCAATAAATAAATAAATTTTTAAAAATTAAATTTGAAATAAATAAAAATGACCATATAGTGTAAGAAAAACATAAATTTACCTAAAACTGTGCTGAGTAAAGTTTAAAGCAACAGACATCTACATCAAAAAAGTTATAAAAATTCCAAAAAAAAAATCTAACAATGGACCTAACAAAGTAGAAAAGCAAGAATTAACCAAACATAATATAAGCAGAATAAAAACAATTAAGATAAAAAGAGAACAAAAAAATATGTACACTAAGGAAGTGGGAAAAGAGCAAGATAGTGAAATAGAAGGCTGCACCGATTGTCCCACTCAGCACACCAATTCAACAACTTTTTACACAGGAAAAGCAACTTCACAAGAACTGAAAATGAGCTGAGCACTCACTGTACCTGGTTGTAATTTTATATCACTGAGACACCAAAGAGGTAGAAAATAATGTCTTGAATTACCAGTGGCAACCCTCCCTCATTTGATGGCAGAGGCGATGTGCTGCAGAGAGCATTTCTTTGCAGTTGGATGATGGAGAGCATAGCAAATGTGAGGCATTAAACTCAGTACTTCCCTGTTATAGCGGAAAGAATAACTGGACCAAATTCAGCTGATGCTCGAACATGGAGAAAGCATTTAAACCAACCCTTTGCCAGAAGGAAGTTGCAAATCCCAGTCATAGAAACTCAAGTTTCCACAAGCCCTTTCCCCACAAGCTAAAGTGATATGGGGCTCAAAATATACTTTAAAGGCAATATAGGCCATAAAGACTGCAACTCCTAAGCGAGTTCTAGTGCTAATCTGGGCCAAGAGCCAGAGGACAGGGGTGCACATGACCTACTGACACACCAGCAGGGATTGCTAAAGGAGTGCTGGTTTTAGCACTACCTTAACCCAAATTTGCACAGCACATGGCCCCAACAGAGACCACCTTTAGAAAAGGGAGGGAAAAGTAGGAAAAGAGGATACAGTCTTTGTTTGAGTGCCAGATCAACTGCATTATGTTAGAATACTACGTAGACTTTAAAAAATTTTGAGCCTAGTGAGTGGTTCCTAGATGGTGTGACTGGACCTGACTGGGGCCTGTGGCAACTG
The DNA here is from genome assembly GCF_000001405.40 of Homo sapiens. Lineage (NCBI taxonomy): Eukaryota > Metazoa > Chordata > Mammalia > Primates > Hominidae > Homo > Homo sapiens. The sequence continues at coordinate 82,132,039 of NC_000023.11, forward strand.
GTGGCTCTGAAGGGAAGGACACAGGCCTGACTGGCTTTGCCATCTTCTGAATGTAGAACTTCAGGTACTTGAGTGAACATAAGCTGTAGCCAAATAGATGTTACAGCTGGCCTTGGGTGAAATCCAGAGCTTTGCTGGCAGCAGGCTTGACCAAGTGCAGTCCTGGTTGTGGTGGAAACAGAAGGACTTGTGTCATTCCACCCTAGCATAAAGTGGCTCAGAACAAAGTGAGACTCTGTATCTTTGGAATAAAGAAAGAGAAGAAAATAAGAGTTTCTGCCAATCACACCAGATAATTCTCCTGCATCATTTCCAAGACCATAAAGGCAGTATGTCTATGACTCCGCAAGAACCACAGCCTTATTGGGTTTGGGATGTCCCCTAAAGCAGATGCAGTTTTGATCACAACACCAAAGTCTTTTCAACTATCTGGAAATTCTCTTAAGAAGGATGGCTAAAAATAAGCCCAGACAGTGAAGACTACAAGAAATACCAACTTTTCAATGCCCACAAACTGAAGATCATCTATAAGTATTAAAATTGTCCAGGAAAAAAAATATGACCTCACCAAATGAACTAAATAAGGTACCAGGGGCCAATCTTGGAGAAACAGAGATTTGTGATCATTCAGAAAGAGAATTCAAAATAACTGTCTTGAGGAAACTCAAAGACATTCATGATAACACAGAGAAGACAATCAGAATTCTATCAGATAAATTTAACAAAGATATTGAAATAATTTTAAAAAATCAAGATGATATTCTGGAGCTGGAAAATGCAATTGGTGTACTGAAGAATGAATCAGGGTTCTTTAATAGCAGGATGGATGAAGCAGAAGAAATAATTAGAAAGCTTGAAGACAGTTTATTTGAAAATATACAGTCAGAGAAGAAAGCGAAAAAAGTAAAACAAACAAACAAAAAAAGAAGCATGTATTAGTTCCTTCTCACAATGCTATAAAGAACTACCTGACACTGGGTAATTTATAAGTAAAAGAGGTTTAATTGCCCTAAAGTTCCATAGGCTGTGCAGAAAGCATGGCTGGGGAGTTTTCAGGAAACATACAATCATGACAGAAGGTGAAGGGGAACCAGGCACATCTTACATGGCCAGAGCAGTAGAAGACAGCCAAGAGGAAGGTGCTACACACATTTAAACAACCAGATCTTCTGAAAACTCACTCACTATCATGAGAACAGCAAAGGGTAAGTCTGCCCCCATGATCCAATCACCTCCCACCAGGCCCATCCTCCAAAATTGGGGATTACAATTAGACATGAGATTTGGGCAGGAATACCTTTTCAAATCATATTATTCTACCCTTGGCGCCTCCCAAATCTCATGTACTTCTCACATTGCAAAATATAATTATTCTTTCTCAACAGTCCTCCAGTCTTTACTCATCTGAGACAACGTAATTCCCTTCTGGCTATGGGCCTGTAGTATCAAAAACAAGTAAGTTACTTCCAAGATACAATTGGGATATAGGTATTGGTAAATATTACATTTCCAAAAGGGAGAAATTGGCCAAAACAAAGAAGCTACAGGTCCTATGAAAGTTCAAAACCCAACAGGGCTGTCTTTAAATCTTAGAATTCCAAAGTAATCTACTTTGACTCCATGTCTCACATCCAGCCTACACTGATGCAAGGGGTGAGCTCTCAAGCCCTTTGGCAGCTCCACTCTTGTAGTTCTGCAGCATATAGCCCCAGTGGCTGCTTTCATGGGCCAGCATTGAGTGCCTGTGGCTTTTTCAGGTGCACAGTGCAAGCTGTCAGTGAATCTACCATTATGGGATCTGGAGGATGGTGACCCTCTTCTCACCCCTCCACTAAGCAATGCCCCTGTGAGGTCTCTATGTGGGGGCTCCATCCCCACATTTCTCATCTGCACTGCCATAGTAGATGTCTTCCATGGGGGCTCCACCCCACCACAGACTTCTGCCTGGACATTCAGGTATTTCCATATATACTTTGAAATCCAGGCAGAGGCTTCCAAGCCTCAACTCCTGCCTTCTGCACACACACAAGTGCCACAGCATGTGGAAGCCACCAAGGCTTGTGACTTGCACTCTGAAGCAATGGCCCTAGTTGTACATTGGCCTTTATCAGACATGGCTGAAAATGGAGCTGGAGTGGCTGCGATGCAGGATGCCATGTCATGACACTGAACAGAGCAGTGGGGCCCTGGGCATGGTCCACAAAACCATTTTTCTTATCATAGGCCTCCTATGATGAGAGGGGCTGTTGAGAAGGTCTCTGAAATGCACTGGAAGCATTTTCCACATTGTCCTGGCTATTAATATTTGGCTCTTCTTTACTTATGCAAGTTTATGCAGCCTTGAATTCCTCCCCAGGAATTGTGTTTTTCTTTTCTGCCACATTGTTGTGCTACAAATTTTCCAAACATTTATGCTCTGCTTCCCTTTTAAATATAAGTTCCAGTTTCAGATAATCTGTTTGCTCATGCATATAAGCACATAATGTTACAAGCAGCCAGACCACATCCTGAATGCTTTGCTGCTTAGAAATTTTAAGTTCCACACATCTCTAGAGCAGGGGCATGATGTCACCAGTCTCTTTGCTAAAGCATAGCAAGAGTGACCTTTACTCCAGTTTCCAATAAGTTTCTCATCCCCATCTGAGTCTACCTCACTCTGGGCTTCACTGTCAATATCATCATCAGCATTTTGGTCTAAACCATTCAACAGGTCTCTAGGAAGTTCCAAACTTTTCCTCATTTTTTCTGTCTTCTTTTGAGCCCCCCAAACAGTTCCAACCTCTGCCCAATACCGAGTTCCAAAGCTGCTTCCACATTTTCAGGTATATTTACAGCAATTCTCCACTTCTCTGGTACCAATTTTCCGTATTAGTCTATTCTCACACTGCTGTAAAGGACTACCTGAGGCTGAGTAACTGATTAATAAAAGAGGTTTAATTGAGTCACATTTCCACAAACTGTATAGGAGGCATGGCTGGGGAAGCCTCAGGAAGCTTACAATCATGGCAGAAGGTGAAGAGGAAGCAAATATGTCTTACAATGGTGGAGCAGGACAGGGAAAGAGAGAGTGAGGGGGGAAGTGACACATGCTTTGAAACCATTATGTCTTGTGAGAACTCACTCACCATCAAAAAAACAGCAAGGGGGTAATTCACCCCCATGATCCAATAACCTCCCACCAGTTTTGTCCTTGAACATCAAGAATTACAATTCATAGGCCGGGCATGGTGACTCATGCCTGTAATCCCAGCTCTTTGGGAGGCTGAGGCAGGTGTATCACGAGACCAGGAGTTCAAGACCAGCCTGGCCAATATGGTGAAACCTCGTCTCTACCAAAAATACAAAAATTAGCTAGGCATGGTGGCATGCACCTATAGTCCCAGCTACTCAGGAGGCTGAGGCAGAAGAATCACTTGAACCCAGGAGGCACAGGTTCCAATGAGCCAAGATCATGCCACTGCACTCTAGCCTATGCGACAGAGCAAGATTCCATCTCAAAAACAAATAAACAAACAAAAAAACAAAAGAATTACAATTCAACATGAGATTTGGGTTAGGACACAGAGCCAAACCATATCAAACAGTCACTGGAAAAACAAACAAACAAACAAAACACAGTGTCTTCAATAAATGGTGCTGGGAAAATAAGATATTCAAATCAAGAAGAATAGACTCCTATATCTCACCATACACAAAAATTAAATCAAAATGCATTAAAGTCTTAAATCTAAGACCTCAAATCATGAAACTTCTACAATAAAACTTTGGAGAAAATCGTCAGGATGTTATTCTGGGCCAAAATTTCTTGAGCAGTACCCCACAAACACAAACAACCAAAGCAAGATGGACAAATGGTATTATATTAATTTAAAAAGCTTCTGCACAGCAAACTAAATAGTCAATAAAGTGAAGAGACAGCCTACAGAGTGGAAGAACATATTTGCAAACTAACCGTCTGACAATAAATTAATAGCAATAATATACAATGAGCTCTAATGACTTTGTATGAGGAAATCTAATAATCTAATAAAAACATAAGCAAAATATTTGAACAGATATTTCTGAAAATAAGACATACAAATGGCAAACAGGCATATAAAAATGCTCACCATCAATAATCAGAGTAATGAAATTCTAAACTACAATGAGATATAATTTCACCCCAGTTAAATTAGCTTATATCTAAAGTTCAGGCAATAACAAACACAAGCAAGAATGTGTAGAAAAGAAAATCCTTGTACATTGTTGGTGGGAATGTAAATTAGTACAACCACTATGGAGAAGAGTTTGGATATTTTACAAAAAACGAAAAATAGAGGTACCATGTGATCCAGCAATCCCACTGCTGGGTACATACTCCAACGAAGCAAAATCAGTGTATTAAAGAGATATCTGCACTCCTATGTTTGTTGCAGCATTGTTTACAATAGACATACTTTGGAAGCAACCTAAGTTTTCATCAACAGATAAAGAAAATATGGTACATATATACAATAAAGTACTATTTAGTCATAAAAAACAATGAGTTCCAGTCATTTGAAACAACATGGATGACACTGGAGAGCATTATGTTAAGTGAAAGAAACCAGACACAGGGAGAAAAAAAAAATCACACATTCTCACTTATTTGTGAGATCTAAAAATAAAAACAACTGAATTAATGGAAATAGAGAGGGTAAGGGTGGTTATTAGAGGCTAGGAAGGCTAGTGAGGGTTTGGGGGAGAGAGGTGGGGATTGTTAACATAAGGTAGAAAGAATAAATAAGACCTGCTATTTGCTAGCACAACAGGGTGACTGCAGTAAATAATAAGTGTACATTTTAAAATAGCTTAAAGTGTGTAGTTGAATTGTTTGCACCTCAATAGATAAATTCTCGAGGGGATGGATACTCCATTATTCATGATGTGCTTATTTCTCATTGCATGCCAGTATCAAAACAAATCATATATCCCATAAGTATATATGGCTACTATGTACTCACAAAAATTTTTTAAAATTTACAAACACAAAAATACCCAAAATTAATATACAAAAATCAGGGCCAGGCAGGGTGGTTCATGCCTGTAATCCCAGAACTTTGGGAGGCCGAGGCAGATGGATCACAAGGTCAAGAGATCAAGACCATCCTGGCCAACATGGTGAAACCCCATCTCAATTAAAAATACAAAAATTACCTGGGTGTAGTGACACGTGCCTGTAGTCCCAGGTACTCGGTAGTCTGAGGCAGGAGAATCGCTTCAACCTGGGAGGTGGAGGTTGCAGTGAGCCAAGATTGTGACACTGCACTCCAGCCTGGCAACAAAGTGAAACTCCGTCAAAAAAAAAAAAAAAAAATCAGTAGATTTCTATAGGCCTACAATCTAAAAGAGATTAAAAAGTGATTCTATTTGTAACAGCCACAATAAAATTAAATACCTAAGTATCAACTTAACCAAAGAAGTAAAAGATATCTATAATAAAAAATTATACAACACTGATAGAATAAATTGAAGAAGACACAAATTAAAAACAGATATTCAATGTTCATGGATTGGCAGAATCAATAATGTTAAAGTGTCCATACTACTCAAAGCAATTTACAGATTAAATGCAGTCTCTTTCAAAATACCAATGACATTCTTTCCAGAAATAGAAAAAAATATGAAAATTTATATAAAACTGCAAAAGACCCAGAATAGCCAAAGACATTCTAAGTAAAAACAAACAAACAAACAAACAAAACTAATGGTATCACATTGCCTGACTTCAAATTCAAATTTGTGTGCTACAGAGCTATAGTAACCAAAATAGCATAGTACTGGCATAAAAACAGACAAATATACCAAGGGAACAGAATGGAGAACCAAGAAACAAATCCAAACACCTATGGTGAACTTATTTTTTACAAAGTTGCCAAGAACATACACTGGGGAAAAGACAGTCTTTTTAGTAAATGGTGCTGGGAAAACTGGCTATCTATATGCAGAAGAATAAAACTGGACCCCTATTACTCACTGTATACAAAAATTAAGTTAAAATGCATTAATGACTTCAATCTAATATGTCAAGATATGAAACGTCTACAAAGAAAACATTGTTGAAACTATCAAAACTTTAGTCTGGGTAAAAAATTTTTTGAGTAATACCTTGCAAACACAGGCAACCAAAGCATAAATGAACAAATGAAATTACATCAAGTATAAAGGCTTCTACACAGAAAGGGAATCAATCAATCAAGTGAAGAGACAACCTATAGAAATAGAGAAAATATTTGCAAACTATGCATCTGGCATGAAATTAATAACCAAAGTATTTAAGAAGCTCAGACAAGTCTGTAAGAAAAAAAAAACTAACAATATAATTAAAAGTGGACAAAATATTTAAATATAAATTTCTGAAAAGAAGACACACAAATGGCAAACAGGCATATGGAAAGCTTCTCGACATCATTAATTATAAGAGTAATGCGAATGAAAAATACTATGAAAGATCATTTCGCACAGTTAAAATAATTTATATCCAAAAATCAGGCAATGACAAGTGCTGGCATGCTTATGCAGTAAAGGGAATCCATGTACACTGTTGGTAGGAATGTAAATTACTGCAACCACTATGGATAACAGATAAGAAGTGCCTCAAAAAACTAAAAATAGATCTACCACATAATACAGAAATCTCACTGCTGGGTATATATCCAAAAGAAAGGAAATCAGTGTATCAAAGAGCTATCTGCACTCCCATGTTTGTTACAGGACTGTTCACAATAGCTAAGACTGGAAACAACGTAAGTGTTTAAAAATTTAAAAAGTATATATACTAAAAAAATACAGAGAATTAATGATAGACAATGTTCCCTCCTATGAAGATAAACAAAACTGGTAAATCATGAGCCATGTTAAATGATACATAAAAAAGAATACCCAAATATACAATATTAGAAACTAAAAAAGGAAAGATTATAACTGATACTAGAGAAATACAAAAGATTATTAAAGGCAATTATGGAAAATTATACATTGACAACTTGGAAAATCTAGAGTAAATGGATGAATGTATGACAACATGATACCTACCAAGATTTGATTCAGAAAAAAATAAAAACCTGAACAGGACAATGAGTAGCAAGATTGAATCAGGAATAAAAACCCTCACAACAACAATGAAAAGTCTACAACTGGATGAATTCGCTGTCAAATTCTATCAAATGCATAATAAAGAACTAATGCCAATCATCCTCAAACTAGTCTAAATAATTTTACAGATATTATTCCCAACTCATATGACAGTGCCATCCTTACCCTGTTATCAAACCGGACAAAGACACAACAAAGAAAACTGTATGCTAACATTCCTAATGAACATATATGCAAATATCTTCAACATAATAATTGCAAACCAAATCCAACAGCACATCAAAAAAGATGTAATCTCACCATGATTGACCTGCATAGTCCAACATACGCAGATCAACAAATGTGATACATCACAATATTAGAATAAAGGATGAAACCATATGATAATTTCAATAGATGTAGAAAAATTATTTATTAAAATTCAAGATCTCTTTATTATAAAATCCCTCAAAAAACTAGGCATAGAAGAAACATACCTCAAATAATAAAGGCCATGTAGAACAAACCCACAGCTAACATAATAGTGAATAGGGATAACTTAAAAGCAATCTTTTCAAGAACTAAACAAGACCAGGCTGCCCATTTTCATCACTTTAATTCAACACAGAACTGGAAGTCCTAGCCAGAGCAGTCAGGCAAGAAAGAAATATAAAAAGCATTCACGCTAACAAGAAGAAATTTAAATTGACCCTTTTTGCAGATTACATAATCTTATATTTAAGAAAACCAAAAGATTTTACCTAAAAACCTTTAAAACTGATAAATAAATACAGTAAACTTGCAAAATACAAAATCAACATAGAAAAATTATTAGTTTTCATACGCAAATAACAAAATAACCAAAAAAAAATCAAGAAGGCAATTCTATTTACAGTAGCTGCAAAAATCTACCATGCCTAGGCTGGGTGCGGTGGCTCACGCCTGTAATTCCAGCACTTTGGGAGGCTGAGGCAGGCGGATCACGAGGTCAGGAGATCGAGACCATCCTGGCTAATATGGTGAAACCCTGTCTCTACTCAAAATACAAAAAATTAGCTGGGCATGGTGGCGGGCGCCTGTAGTCCCAGCTACTCGGGAGGCTGAGGCAGGAGAATGGCGTGAACCCAGGAGGTGGAGCTTGTAGTGAGCCGAGTTAGCACCACTGTACTCCAGTCTGGGTTTCAGAGCAAGACTCCATCTCAAAAAAAAAAAAATCTACCATGCCTAGTGACCTAGGAATATATTTAACCAAGGAGGTGAAAGAGCTCTAAATTAAAAAAAAAAATGAAGAAAATTTACCAGATACTGATTCAAAAATGTAAAAGAACACAAACAACTGGAAAGGCACCCCATGGTCATGAATCAGAAGCATTAATATCATTAAAGTGAACATATTTCCCAAATAAATCTACATATTCAGTGTAACTGCTATCAAAATAACAATGCCATTTTTCACAGAAATAGAAAAAAATCCTAAAATTAGTATGGAAATTTAAAAAAAGCCAGAATATGTAAATACATCCTGATCAAAAAGAACAAAGTTGGAACCATCACATTACTTAACTTCAAATTATACTACAAAGCAATAATAACCAAAGCCACATGGTATAGATATAAAAGTAGACACATGAGCCAATGGAACTGAAAAGAGTATCCATAAATAGATGCATGTATGTGCAGCCAGTTGATCTTCAACATAGTTGTCAAGAACATACACTGGGGCAATGCCACCATCTTTAATAAATGTGGTGGGAAAACTGGATAACCAAATGAAGAAGAATAAAAGTGGGCCTCTATCTCTTCCCAAGAAATCAACTAATTGTAGAGTGAAGACTTAAATATGAGACCCAAAATTGTAATACCATGAGGAGATAACAGAGGAAAATGGGCACTTCGGACATTGTTCTGGAGAAATATGGCTATGACCTGAAAAGCACAGGTAAGAAGAACAAAAATAGACTAATGAGACAATATTAAGCTAAAGGTTAAAATTCAGTAGTGTTTCTATACACTAAAAATGAAATAGCCAAAAGAGAAATTACGAATGCAATCCCATTTTTTAATACTTACAAAAAATACCTAGCAATAAATTTTATCAAAGAGTTGAAAGATCTCTACAAGGAAAACTGAGAAAACACTGATTAAATAAATTGAAGAGGACATAAAAAATAAATGTATATCCCATCTTCAGGAATCAGAGTCATTAATATTGTTAAACTAATCATACTGCCCAAAGAAATCTGTAGATTCAATGCAATCGATATCAGAACACTAATAATATTTTCACAGTAATTGAAAAAGCTATCCAAAATTAGTATAGAACTAAAAAAGAGCCAGAAAAGCCAAAACAATCCTGAGCACAAAGACAAAAGCTGGAGGCATCACACCATCTGACACTTACCCAAGTAACAAACCTGCACATGTACCTCCTAAACCTACAATAAAAGTTGAAAAAAAAAGAAAAGAAAATTCCATTAGTTTTATTTTGAAAAGCAGAAAAATAAATTTAGGAGTGTGGACCCAGTGTCAGATTGCCAAGTAGAGCCCATCTGAACCCAGTACCTTCCTTTGAGAAATGAGATTAATGAAGAAAATATCTCAAATAAATGATTTTAAGAATAAATAAAGCTATGCAAGAAAAAACTCAATACATTACAAGGCTTTACTATCCATAACATCATGGTATTTTTACAAAAATAGACACATAGACCAATGTAAAAAATACATATTTACAGTCAACTGATTTTCGACCAAGTAGTCAAGAACAAACTTAGTAAAGTTTGGTCAGACAAGTGATTTGACCATGAAAGATTCTTCCTTGTAAATGGAATAAAGGTTTCTAGTGATCTGAAAAAAAAAAAAAAAAAGTGTGAGAACTAAACAGTAGGGATGCCATTTTTCTACCTTGGAGACTGTGTTTTCTAGGTTGTTCCCAGAAACAAAGCAAATGCCAACCTCGCCCATACTTTTAACAGAGCATAACAACACTGACCACAACAAAGCCTGATGGCTCTTACCACATCCTTCCCCAGCCCCCTACAGTTCCAACCTGCCAGCACTTCCCCAACTCCTCCCCTACAGATAATTTGTTATAAAAACCTTAACCTGTGAGTGATCAAAGAGATCAGGGTCTCAGCCAGATTCCTGACTGGGACCCCTCACAGGCTTATTCCTGTAAACAAACCTATTTGGTTGTTGAGTTGCTTTCTCTCCCTCACTCTCTTCCTTTATATTTTTCTAACATTTGGTGCCAAAACCCAGAATGGGGTCTGGGTTTCATAGCGGAGAGGTTGTCTCTCACGGCTTCGTGTTCCCAGCCCCATCTACCATCCTTCTTCCCACCTTCACATTCCACTCTCCTTCTTTTTCTTCTCCCCTCCCTACCCCTTTCTTTACTTGGCAACTCCAGCGAAAGGCCACCGCCAACTGATGACCAGACATCGCTTCGAACTGGTAAGTTTTGGCAGCCCTTCCTTGGTGCCAGGAAAGGATTGCCTCATTACCAGACAACTCCGGGAATCTGGAAGCAAAGGAGATGTCTTTTGTTTCTAGTCTCCCCTTTCTGTGAGGATTCAAGAAAACCGGGGTTTTTCTTCAAAATCTTCTGCCGGGATTTTTGAGACAGTTGTTGGAACACCTCAACTGACCCCATCTCCCTTGGCTTCCATCCTGGAAAACAGAAATGGGAAATCTGCCGTCCAAAATTCCCTTAGACTCACCTTTGGGCTGTCTATTTAAAAACCAAACTCAATTGGAGCTTACTGACACTATAAAACCTAAACTGCTAATTTTCTTCTGCAATGTGGCCCGGCCACGATACAAGTTGGATAATGGCAGTTACTGGCCTGAAAATAGCACTTTTAATTTCCAAATTCAATGCAATCTTGACAAATTCTTACAAAGAAATGGCAAATGGTCTGAGGACCCCTATATCCAGGCTTTCATGTATTTATGCTCAAAACCCTCTCTGTCAGACTTGTTCCCCTCACCAGTTGTTATTGCTAAACGAAAATTCCCAGTCCCCTTCTCACTCTTCCCCCATAACAACCCTGAGAGCAATTTTGATCCCGCTGAGGAACCTCCACCATACCACCAGCTTCAGGCCCCTGCCGGAGCCACCAGCCCCATCGCCACCTCCCCCACTCCCCTTTCTATCTATATCACCTGTTCAAAAAAACAGTCAAACCCTAGCCATCCTTCCCCTCTGCGAGGTTCATGTTCCTTCTCAATGCCAGACATGTCTGAGATCAAAAGGCACCTGGTTCCTTTTCCACTGACCCTTCCCACTTCCGAAGGGAGTTTCTTTATGTTACTCAGTCATATAACCTTACTTGGCATAACATTTATGTTATCCTCTTAGCCACTCTTACCCCAGATAAGAAACAATGCATTTGGCTGGCCTCTCAAGCCCATACCAATATACTTCACCAGCAAGATGTAGTCCATAATCCTGTTGCAGCCAATGCTGTTCCCGGAGCAGACCCCTAATAAACTTACCCTGCATCCAGTGCTATAATCATATGTTCACTTGTCTCCTGGTTGGCATGGAAAAATGTGCCCATAAGGCAGTAAATTATGAAAAAATTAGAGAAATAAGCCATGGCCCAAATGAAAATCTAGCTTTTCCTGTAAAGGTTATCAGAGACCATGCTCAAATACACAAAACTAGACCCTGAATCACAAGAGGGTCAAGCCTATCTTCACTTACATTTCATTTCACAATCAGCACCAGATATTAGGAAAAAGCTGCAAAAACTAGAGGAGGGACCACAGACCCCACGAAGGGATCTTATAAATCTGGCCTTCAAGGTCTTCAATATCAGAGAGAAAGAACATAAAATGCAAAAGGAGAAGCAGGTTAATATTAAATACCAGATCCTAGCTGCTGCCCTCCAGAGGGTTTCTAAGGAAAGATCATCTTCTCAGGACCCTGGCACCTGTTTTCGATGCGGCAACACAGGACTTTGGGCAAAGGCCTGCCCAAACCCATGGCCCCCAGCAAAGCCCTGTCCTACATGTGGTAAATGGGGACACTGGAAAATAGACTGCTCTCAACGAGAACACCCTTCCTGTTTGACAGCATTCTCTAGTAGGTCCCCGGACCCACAGCAGGGAAGCCTCTCCTTTTTGTTGGCACTAGCATCTGAAGACTGACTGTGCCTGGGATCCCTTGTCCCCACATCACGTGAGTCTCCAGAGCCCAGGGTAATCATGATGGTATCTTGTAAGCCAATTTCCTTCTTACTGGATACTGGGGCAAGTTTCTCATTTCTTCCAGAATATTCTGGACCCCAAAATCGTTCCTCCATTTCTGTTGCTGGGGTTGATGGCCACCCTATAACCCTCTCTCAAACACCTCCACTATACTGCACTTTATTCAATACTGCCTTTACTCACTCATTTTTAGTAATTCCACAGTGTTCTACACCACTTATTGAAAGAGACATATTCAATAAATTTGGGGCCATATTACAATTTAATACTCTGCCTCAAGTGCCAGCATACTTGCTCCATTGCCAGTCAGAAAACAATAAAAGCGAAACCCAGTCCTCAACAACTTCAATCCAAGTAGTTAACCCAACGGTATGGGACACTTCTCAGCCCATTGTTGCCACATACCACCAGCCACATTTTTTCTTGAAACAGAGTCTCACTCTGTTGCCCAGGCTGGAGTGCAGTGGTGCGATTTTGGCTCACTGCAACTTCCACCTCCCAGGTTCAACTGATTCTCCTGCCTCAGCCTCCTGAGTAGCTTGGACTGTAGGCGCCCACCACCACTCCCAACTAGTTTTTGTATTTTTAGTAGAGGCAGGGTTTCACCATGTTGCCCAGGCTGGTCTCGAATTCCTGACCTCAAAAGATCCACCCACCTCAGCCTCCCAAAGTCAGCCACTTTTAATAAAATTTAAAAACCCCTCCCAAATTGTTTCACAACCCCAATATTCCCTCAGCCAGGCTGGACTTAGGGGAATAAAACCCATCATCACCAGACTACTAAAAGCTGGCATTTTAACAACCACCAATTCTCCCCATAACACCCCCATTCTGGTAGAAAAAAAAAGCAAATAGACAATACAGGTTAGTCCAAGACTTGAGCTGAATTAATGAAGCCGTAATGCTCATTCACCCTGTAGTTCCCAATCCGTACACTATACTATCTAAAATCCCACCAAACACTACTCACTTTACTGTTCTAGACCTTAAAGATGCCTTTTTCACTATTCTCATTGACCCAGCTTCCAAGCCCCTTTTTGCATTCATCTGGACTGATCCAGACTCATAAACTTCTATGCAGTTAACCTGGACAATCCTACCACAGGGGTTTCAAGATAGCCCCCATCTATTCCATCAAGCTTTGGCATAAGAACTTCAAAAATTATCACTTCACCCTAGTACTGTTCTTCAGTATGTGGATAACTTTTTTCTCTGTCACCCCTCACAACCAATTTGTATAGCACTCACTGTAACCCTACTCAAACATTTATCCATCCTCAAGTACCGGTATCTAAAGACAAAGCCCAAATCACCTCATCAAAAGTCACTTATCTGAGCCTTTTAGTCTCCCCAATATCCAAAGAAATTCCATCTGAATGGAAGCAAGTAATTGCTTCCCTCCCCATGCTTACCACTAAGTGGGATTTGTGGTCTTTTCTAGGGCTCACAGGGTATTTCAGGCTATGGATTCCTAACTTTGGAATTATAGCAAAACCATTTTATGCAGCATCAGAGGGGGACCTCAATGAGCCTTTAGATATTTCACAGGATATAATTTGCTCCTTCGAACAATTAAAAAAGGCCCTTCTACAGGCCCCAGCTTTGGCCATAACTAACCCTAACGCAAATTTTACCCTATATGTTCATAATGCCGAAGGTTTAGCCCTAGGCCTCCTAGGTCAGCATGCAGGAGACCAACTCCTTCCCATCACTTATTTCTCAAAGCAACTTGATTCAGTTTCCCAAGGTTGGCCCTCTTGCCTTCGGGTTTTAGCAATGGCTGCACTACTCTTACTTGAAACCCAAAAGCTAACTTCCATCAGCCAATTACCATCGCAGGGAGCTTCTCATATAAGGGCCTTATATTGTAAAATATACAGTTGTCTTTTATCTCAATTTCCTGACATACAGCTACCAAAATTAATAAGAGTATCTTTTTTATCCTAATGAGATGACAGGTGGCTGGGGGTTGCTATTTAATAGATAGCCTCAAAATGAGGACTGTTGGCTAGAGCAACCAACCATGTAATTAGAGTGTTGAAACTTTTACTCCCACACCCAATATCCACAAGGAGAAGAGGGGCTAAATATTGAGTTGATAAGCCCAGGGCTAATAATTTAATCAATCATCCCTGCATAATAGTATTTTCACAAAACCCAAAAGGACTGAGTTCTGAGGGCTTTAAGATAGCTGAACATGTGGAGAGTCACACAGCCAGGGAGGGCCTGGAATGTATACCTCTTCTTCCCTACCTCACCACTTGCATCTCTTCTATATAGCTGTTCATTTGTGTCCTTCATAATAGAATAAATGAATAAATGTAAGTAAAGCGTTTCTCTGAGTTGTGTGAGCCACTCAAGTAAATTAATAAATCCCAAGGAGGGAGGCTTGAAAACCTTAATTTACAGCTGCTGGTCAGAGGAACAGGTCACAATCAGTGCTTGTGACTGGCATACATAGTGTGGGATCAGTCCTTTGGGACTGAGCCATCAGGCAGTGGGATCTGAAACTGATAGTGTCAGAATCGAATCAAATTGAATTGAATTGAATTGGATTGAGTTGAATTGAATTAGAGGACACCCAGCTGGTGTCCACCATAGAATCATCTGTAGAATAGTTTGGTGTGTGTGGGAAAACCTCACACACATCAGGGGTGATGGAAGCCTTCTGTTGTGGTAAGTACAAAGTAGGAAAAACACACTCTTGTTTGCTTTTTTTTCATATCACCAGAGGCCTTAGTTCTATTTACAAAGGAGAATCTTTGTAATGGTCTAATCACTTATTAAAGGCCCCACGTCTTAATACTGTCACATTGGCAACACCTGAATTTTGGAGAAAACACATTTAAACCAGAGCACTATATATCTGATCAGAGATCAATATCAAAAATATATAAATAACTTATACTACTCAATGGTGAAATAATCAAATAACCTGATTTTAAAATTAGCAAAGGACAAAATAGACTTCTTAAAAAAAGAAGACATGCAAATAGGCAACAGGTATATAAAAATGCTCAACATCACTAATTATTCAAAAAAATAAAAATTAAAACCACAATAGGATATTATCTCACACTTCCTAAGATGGCTATTATCAAAAAGTCAAAAGTTAAGTGTTGATAAACATATTGAGAAAAGATAACCCATATACATTGTTGGTGTAAATACAAATTGGTATAGCCACTATAAAAGAGTATAGAGTTTCCTCAAAAAATTGAAAAGTAAAACCACCATATTATCCAGAAGTCCCACTGCTGGGTATATATCCAAAGCAAATAAAATCAGGACTTTGTAAATATATATGTACTATCATATTATTACAGGATTACTTACAATAGCCAAGATATGAAAACAATTTAATTGTTCATCAACAAATAAATCGATAAGAATATATCACACAAACACACACACACGGGGGACTTCAAAAAATTTATGAAAATGGATATTATGAAAAAATCTCTTCATAAATTAAAATTTTTACACCAAAATAAACTCATAGTAATTCATGTTTGAATAGGACATAATTTGAGGCAATAAGAAGAATAAAACATCAGTTTGAAAAGCATCTCTATCAAAGTAACATGAATCCTGCTGATATTGAAAATAAAAAATCAAATTTATGAAAAAGTGTGGGTGGAATAATGGTAAAAATAATTGTTGCTTCATGAAAAGTTAATGGGGGAAATGTCCAAAAGAAATGAGCAGTTTCTAAATGGATAATTCATTTTATTAAGAGAAGGGACAATGTTGGAAATGAGGCTTGCAGCATCAGATTATCCACACCAGTTTGAGGAAATAAAATCGTTTTGTTCATGCCCTAATTAGAGGAGACTGATGATTAACAGCAGAAATGATAGTCAACACCATAGACACCTCAGTTGTTTCAGCTTACAAAATTCTGACTGAAAAGGTAAAGTTGAGAAAATTTTCTACTTGATAGATGCTGAAACCATTGAATCCAGGTTAGCTGCAGACAAGAGCAGAGATTTCAAGATAAATTTTAGAAAAGATTAATATCTTGAATCTTTTTTTTGAAAAATTGTAACAGGGGATAAAATATAGCTTTCCCAGTGTGATCCTGGAAATGGAGCCCAATCAAAATAATGGCTACCAAAAAGCAGAAGTGGTTTAGTCAAAGCAAGAGCAGACAGTAAAGAGCAAGTTATGGGATGCTCAAGAAATTTTGCTCTTGTTGACATTCTTAAGGGCTAAAAAACAAGCAACATCTGCTTATTATGAAAGTGTTTTGAGAAAGTTAGTCAAAGCTTTAGCAAAAATATGCACAGGAAAGTTTTGTCAGAGAGCCATCCACCAGTGTGAAAAGGTTCCTGCTAATTCCTCTCATCAAATGAGCAAGTTTGTGAGCATTTTCATGGAAAATTATTAGGCATCCACCTTAAAATCTTGATTTGGTTCATTTTGGCTTCTTTTTGTTTTCTAATTTAAAAATATATTTAAAGGGGGCCCATTTATGTTTAGTTAATAATGTAAAAGAGACTGCATTGACATAGATCAATTCCCAGGACCCTCACATAGATCAACTTCCAGGACCCTCAATACTTTAGGGATGGACCAAATGACTAGTATCATCACTTACAATGGTGTGTTGAAATTGATGGCCTTTTTAAAAATTTTTTGAGATTAGAAATTAAAAAGAAGTCAAAAGGAGCAAAATTAGAATTCTAAGGTAGATGTCTAATAATTTCCTATCAAAATGTTCAAAAAATTTGTTGTTTAACAAGAGAAATGAGCAGAAATATGGCCTTTTCAAACTGATAGAGCTTATGTTAAGAAGTAAATTTTTTATTTGTGTTTTTAATTTTGATTTTCAATATCTTTTGAAGTCATCTTACATGTTCGTGTGTGTACACAAACACACACACAATAGAATGTTGTTTACCTTTAAAACTGAAAACTGTCCTGCCATTTACAAATAAATGGATGAAACTAAAAGACATTTTACCAATTTAAATAAGTCAGACCCAGGAAGACAAATACTTCCTGATCTCAATATATCTGGAATCTATAAAATTGAACTAAGAAAAATAAAGCAGAAAGAAAGTGACCATGGTTAGAAGAGGAAATGGAGAGATATTGGTCAAAAGTTACAAATTTGGAGTTATAAGATAAAAAATTCTAGAGACCTAATGTACAGCATGGTAAATATAGCTAATAATAATACACTGTAAACTTGAAAGGTGACAAGGAAAACTATTTAATTATTCTCACCACAGAAAAGGTAACTACACAAGGAGATGCATTTGATTTAAATTAATTTTGCCATTTTATAATTTATACATATAACAAATCATCACATTGTGTACCTTGAACTTATGTGATTTTTATTTTTCAATATAATTTAATAAAACTGGAAAAATAAGATTAAAATTATGTTAAGTATCGTTTCCAACCACAATAAACTGCAACTAGAAATTAATAGCAGATGGAAAACTGAAAAATTCACAAAGAAGTAGAAATTAATTAACAAATTCCTGAATAAGAAATGGTTCAAAGGTATCAAAAGCATAATCAGAAAATATTTTGAAAAAATGAAAATAAGAATGAAACATACTAAAACTAATGAGAACATACTAAATGAAACATACTAAACATACAAAATGAAACATACTAAAACTGCAAAAGCAGTCCTAAGAAGAAAGTTTATACCTAACATTAAAAAAAATGAGGTACTCAAATAAATGACCTAACATCATACCTCAAGAAAACAGAACAAGAAGTTTAACTTTTCCACAAGGGAGGAAATAATAAACATTAGAACAAAGATACATAAAATTGAGACTAGAAAAACAAAAATTTCTACAATACTAAGAACTGGTTTTCTGAAAACATCAATAAAATTAAAATCTTCGCTTCACTAAGAAAAAAGAAGACTCAAATACATGAAATAAAAAAGGTGCATTGTAACTGATTTTATAGAAATCAGGAAAATTATAAGAGACTCTCATGAACAATTTCATACCAACAAATTATATAACCTAAAAGAAATAGGTAAATTCTTACAAAAATAAAATCAAGACATAATCATAAAGAAGGTAAATCCAGAGAGAGCACTAACTAGTACGAAGGTTGAATCACTAAGAAAAATCCTCCCAATGAAACAATAGCCCAGGACCACAAGGCTTTCCTGGTAAATTTTACCAAATTTATAAAGAAGAATGAACACCATTTCTTCATAAATTGTTCCTCCCCCAAAATGAAGATTCTCATAACGTTTATACTTACAAAGTTTATACATATAGAGTCATTTTATGAGAGCAGCATTACCCTGATATCAAAACTAGGTAAAGAAACTAATATAATAAGACCTATAGGCTGATATCCCTGATAAACATGGATGCAAAAATCTGCAACAATATATTAGGAAACAAAATTTTAAAAGCACATTAAAACGATCAAACACCATGACGAAGTGATATTTATCCCTGCGATTCAAGAAGGCTTCAACCGATGAAAATATATTGTGATTTACAGCCTTAACAAAGTAAAGTTTACCAGCGCTTTGGGAGGCCGAGGTGGGTGGATCACTTGAGGCCAGGAGTTTGAGATCAGCCTGGCCAACATGACGAAACTTCATCTCCACTAAAAATACAAAAATTAGCTGGATGTTGTGGCACACGCCTGTAATCCCAGCTACCCGGGAGGCTGAGGCAAAGAATTGCTTCAACCTGGAAGGCAGAGGCTGCTGTGAACCGAGGTTGTGCCACTGAACTCCAGCCAGGGCAACAGAGTGAGACTTCATCTCAAAAAAAAAAAAAAAAAAATATATATATATATATATATATATATATATATATATATAATTATCTCAATAAGTACAGAAAAAAAACAATGACCAAACTCAACACACACTCATGATAAAAACTTTCAATAAACAGGAAATAGAAAGAAATTACCTCAACACAATAAAAGCCCTATATCCAAAGCTCTTAGCTCACATCATACTCATTAGGGAAAAATTGAAAGCTTTTCTGGAAAAAGATCAAGGGACAAGGTATCCTCAGACTTGCACTTCTATTCAATACAGTACTGGAAGTTGTAGCAAAAATAAAATAGGCAAAAAAAAATTAAATTGAAGGTATTTAAATTATAAGAAATGAAATTAACTCTATTTACTAATAGTGTTCACTTATGCAAAATTTTAAATATTACAAAAAATTTTGAAGACTATAAAAATTATTTAAACTAATTAACACATTTAGTAAAGTTACTGAATACAAAATCAACATACAGAAATCGTTCGCATTTCTATTCAATTACTGTGAACCATCTAAAAATAAAATGAAGAAAACAATCTTATTTACACTAGCATCCAAAAAATACATTACTTAGGAATGAACTTAACTAAGTAATACACTTGTATATTGAAAACTAAAAAAAAGATAAAAAAATTAAAGAAGACACCAATAAATGGAAAGATATCCTGTGTTCATTGCTTGGAAAATTAATATTGTTAACATTTCCATACTTCCCATATTGATCTACAGATTCAGTGCAATCTCTATCAAAAACTTCAATGGCATTTTATACAAAAGAAGTAAATAAGTCCTAAAATTTGTATGAAAACACAAAGGACCGCCAGTAACCAAACCAACCCCGTGAAAGAACAAAGTTAAATTCTTTACACTTCCTGATTTCAAAATGTATCACAAAGCTATAGTAGTTAAAGGAGTATGGTACTGGCATAACGACAGACATCTAAATTGATAGAACAGAATAGAGAGTTTAGGAATAAACCCACATGTATTAGGTCAACAGTTCTTTGTCAAGGACACCAAGAATACAAAATGGGGAAAAATAGTTTCTTCACCAAATGGTACTCAGAAGACTGGATATGCACATGCAAAAGTATAAAATTAGACCCTTATCTTCCAAAATACACAACATCAACTAAAGATCTAAAACTATAAAATCCTAGAAAAAAAACAAAGCTTAAGAAAAGGCTTTATGACATTGGATTTGGCAATGATTTCTTAAAATTTTATTTTATTTTTTTGAGATTGAGTCTCACTCTGTCACCAGGCTGGAGTGCAGTGGCATGATCTCGGCTCACTGCAGCCTCCACCTCCCCAGTTCAAGCGATTTTCTGCCTCAGCTTCCCGAGTAGCTGGGACTACAGGCGCGTGCCACCACACCCAGCTAATTTTTGTATTTTTAGTAGAGATGGGCCTTCACCATGTTGGCCAGGATGGTCTTGATCTCCTGACCTCATGATCCACCCGCCTTGGCCTCGCAAAGTGCTGGGATCACAGCGTGAGCCACCGTGCCCTGCCGGCAATGATTTTTTTATTTTGACCCCAAAACAAATGCAACAAAGCAAATATAGAAAAATGGGTCTCAAACTAAACATTTTCCGCACAGCAAAATAAATAATGAACAACAAAAAGGCAATCTACAAAATAGACTAAAGTATTGACATATCATATATGTGATTAGAGGTTAATATCACAAATGTAGAATAAACTCCTACACCTCGATATCAAAACAAATTTTAAAAAAGCAAATATCATGATTAAAAAACAGGCAAACAATGGCCGGGCACGGTGGCTCACGCCTGTAATCCCAACACTTTGGGAGGCCGAGGTGGGCGGATCACAAGGTCAGGAGTTCGAGACCAGCCTGGCCAATATAGTGAAACCCCGTCTTTGCTAAAAAATACAAAAAATAAACCAGGCATGGTGGCATGCGCCCATAATCCCAGATACTCGGGAGGTTGAGGCAGGAGAATCGCTTGAACCCAGGAAGTGGAGGTTGCAGTGAGCAAGATTGTGCAATTGCACTCCAGCCCAGGCAATAGTGTGAGACTGTCTAAAAAAAAAAAAAAAAAAAAAAAACACGCAGGCAAATAACTTAAACATTTCTGCAATAAATACATTAAAATGGGCAACAGGTATATTAAAAGATGCCCAATATCTCTAATTATCAAGGAAATGCAAATAAAAACCACAATGAGATAATACCTCACATCTGTATATATTAATTCCTGTAAATATATAGGTTAAATGATGTAAATATATACATAAAATTGGATGTGAAATGGTGCAATTAATACAGAAAATAGTATGGATAATTCTCAAAAAATAGATTGAAAAGAAAACTACCATATGATATAGCAATCCACACATTGGATATTTACTCTAAATAAATACAATACAAATATTGAGGATACACTTGCACTTCCATGATCATTGCAGAATTACTCACAAAAGCCAAGTGGTAGAAACCATCTAAGTATCCATCAATGAAAAGAAAGATGTGGTATATACATCTAATGTAATATTATTTAGCAAAATTGAAAGAAATCTTGTCATATGCTATAACATGAATGAACATTAAAAGCATTAGTCAAAGTAAAATAAGCCAGTTACAGAAGACAAATACTGCATGATTCCACTTATATAAAATATCTGAAATTGTAAAACTCATAAAAGCAGAAAGTAGAATAATGATAATGAGACACTGACAATAGGAAAAATGTGGAGCTGCTAGTTAATGTATGTGAAACTTCAACTATGCAAGATGAATAAGGTCAAGAGTACTACACAATATTCTAACTATAGTTAACAATACTTCATTTTACACTTAAAAAATGAACTGTGTAGGTTTCATGTTACATGTTCTTACCACAGTAAAAATCAAGCAAACCAAAAAACCTTTAAAAATTCCATAAAAATAACTATTAAAATAAATAAATGAATTAAGCAAAGTACTTCAGTAAAATAGCATGCAAAAATTACTTGCATTCCTATATACCAACAATAAAAAAATCTGAAAAGAAAAATAAGAAATCTTAATGCAAAAAGGATCAAGGACTTAAATGACAGACTTGAAATTATAAAAATTCTAGACGAAAACTTAGAAAAAATCCTTCTGGACACTGACCTAGGCTAATAATATATAAGGAAGACCCCAAAAACAAAGGCAACAAAATAAAAAATAGACAAATGTGACATAATTAAACTAAATTTTTTCTACACAGCGAAATAATCAACAGGGTAAACAGACAACCTACCAAATGGAAGAAAATATTTGCAAATTATGCCTCTGAAAAGGGACAAATATCAAGAATCGACAAAAAGTCAACCAACTAAACAGAAAAATAAAATCCCATTAAAAACTGAGCAGAGGACATGAACAGACATTTCTCAAAGAAGAAATACTAGTGACCAACCAACACATAAAAAATACTCAGTTACTAATCATCAGGGAAATGCAAAATAAAACTACAATGAGATATCACCTTACACCAGTTCAAAGGGTTATTTAAAAGTCAAGAAAAAGAACAGTTATTGGCATGAATGAGGAGAAAAGAGAATGCTTATACAGTTTGTGGGAATGTAAATTCGTTCAACTTCTAAGGAAGGCAGTATGGAGATTTCTCAAAGAACTAAAAATAGAACTATCATTTGATCCAACAATCCCATTATAGAGTATCTGCCAAAAGAAAAATAAATCACTATATAAAAAAGACACCTGCTCATCACAGCAATATTCTCATTGTGAAATCGTGAAACCAACCTAAGTATTCATCAATGGTTGCCTGGATAAAGAAAAAGATATATACATTATGGAATACTACTTAGCCTTAAAAAAGAATAGCATCATATTTTTTTGCAGAAATATGGATGCAGCTGGAAGCCATTATCTTAATTAAACTAACTCAGAAACAGAAAATCAAATACATGTTTTCAATTACAAGTGGGAAGTAAATAATGGGTATATATAGACATAAAGATGAAAAAAAGTTGACAGTTGGGACTCCAAAAGTGAAGAAATTGGGAGCAGAGTGAAGATTGAACAATTATTTGTTGGATACAATGTTTACTATTTGAGTAATGGTTATACCGGAAACCCAATCTTCACCAATATGCAATGTACCCATAAAACAAACATGCACATGTACCCTTTAATCTAAAAGAAAATATAAATTTTAAAAAGAAATTAATAAATCAATATTATTGCCAATAGTATCAAAATAAACAAAATAGTAATAAATAACCAAAGAGGCAAAAATTTAAACACTGAAAACTATAAAATATAGCTGAAAAAATTTAAGATGACACAAATAAAAGTTTCTCTTCTTGAATTGGAAGATTTAATATTCTTAACATGCCAAAGTTACTCAAAACTATCTGCAGATCCAATGCAATCCCTAACAAAATCCCAGTGACACTTTTTGCAAGAAATAGAAAAAAACCTATGTTAACATCTATTTGAAATATCATTAGATCTCTAATAGCAAAATCATTATTTTATATGATGAACAAATATCGGTTTCTTATAATTCTTCATTTCAAAAGTTAATGAAAAGCCAAAATATTCAAATCAATGTCATTTTGGCATAAAGATAGACCTATGGACCATTTGAATAAAGTAGAGAGCCTGAAATTAAGCTTCACATATATGGTCAAATGTTTTTTGACAAGAGTGTAAGTGCCGTTTAATAGAGAAAGGACTGTCTTTTAAAAACATGTTTTTTGGTCACAACATATTCACATGCAAAAGAAGGAAGTTGGGCCCTTTATCCCACATAGTAAACAAAAAATAATTTAAAATAGATAAAAGTCCTAAAAACAAAAGCCAAAATTAAAAACTCTTAGAAGAAAAGATAGGAGGTAAAACTTCATGGTGAGTCATTCATAATCCCAAAAGAACCAAAAGAAACAATCTCAAATGCCAAAATCCTTAATGTTAAAATCCTGAAAGATCAAATCCCAAAAATATTATTCTGGAAAAATAATGTTTGAAAATCTGTAAAATATATTTATTTACATGATTAAATGTATATTTATTTGAGAAACATAAAAACATGAGAGAAAACTTCATAGGACATATTACATAATAAAACAGATAATAAAAACATACATATTTTTGTAAGGATAAACACTCAAGTAGCCTAAGGAGAGTTGCATGTGTATAAAATTTATGAGCAGATAAAGCATGTTTACATAGAAATACGTCAAAAAGCAGAAAATATAAATGAATATTGCTAAGTTTGGTAATCACGTACACTCAGGTTTATAACTTTGGTTATCTAAAATGTGATAGACAACCTAAGTCTTTTCACAGAATGATCAAAATCCATAATGCTCATCGCAACTTATGCATTCATCCAAAGAAGCAAGATTTCTAGAAATTTTATTTTTCCAAAATGTAGATGTACAAATAGGTCATAGATGTGCAGGTTTTTTACATGGGTAAATTGTGGGAGGTTGAGGTTTGAAATATGAAAAGTCCTATCACCCAGATAGTGAAAATAGTACCCAGTAGTTACTTTTCCAAGGATTTCCCCACCTGCCTATGTCCCCCCTTTAGTAGTCCCAAGTGTCTACTGTATTCATCTGTATGTCCATGAGTACACAATATTTAATTCCCACTTATAAGTGAAAACATGCAATATTTGCTTTCTGTTCCCACATTAATTCACTTAGAATAATGCCATCCAGCTGCATTCATGTTGATGCAAAGGGTATCATCTCTTTTTTTAAAAGGGCTTTGTAGTATTTCATGGTGAATATGTACTGCATTTTCTTTATCCAATCTACCATTGAAGGGTACTTACGCTGGTTCCATGTCTTTGTAATTATGAATAGTGCTGTGATGAATACACAAGTGCATGTGTCTTTTTGGTAGAAGACTTTATTTTTCTTTGGGTGTATATCTAGTAATGAGATTGCTTTTTTGAATGGTAGTTCTATTTTAAGTTCTGTGAGAAATCTCCAAACTGCTTTCCATAGTGACTGAACTAATTTATATCCCCACCAACATTTTATAAGAGATCCCTTTTCTCTGCAGCCTTACCAACATCTGTTGTTTTTTGAGTTTTTAACAAGTCATTCTGATTGTTGTGAGATGGCATCTCATTGTACTTTTGATTTGCATTTCTCTGTTCATTAGTGATGCTGAGCATTTTTTCATGACTATTGGCTGCTTGTTTGTCTTCTTTTGAGAAGTGTCTGGTCATGTCTTTTGCCCACTTTTTAATGCAGTTATTTGTTTTATGCTTGTTAAATTAAGTTCCTTATAGATTCTGGATATTAGATCTTTATTGTATGCATAGTTTGTAAATATTTTCTCCCATTCTGGAGGTTGTCGGTATATTCTGTTAGTTTCCTTTGCTGGGCAGAGCTCTTTAGCTTAATTAGGTCCCAGATGAAAATTTCTCTTTTTGTTGCAATTGCTTTTGGGAACTCAGTCATAAGTTTTTGTTTGTTTGTTTGTTTCCTGAAGGCCAGTGTGGGAAATGGTGTTTCCCATGTTTTCTTCTAGGATTTCTATAGTTTGAGTTTCTATACACTTAAATATTTAATCCATCTTGAGTTAATTTTTGTATATAGTGAAAGGTAGGAGTCCAGCTTTTTCTTCTGCATGGGGCTAGCCAGCTATCCCAACACCATTTATTAAATAAGGAGTCTTTCCCCCATTGCTTATTTTTGTTGAATTTGTTGAAGGTCAGATGGTGATAGGTGTGAAGCTTTAGTTCTCTGTTCTCTATTCTGCTCCATTGGTCTATGTGTTTGATTTTTGTACCAGTTCCATGCTGTTATGATTACCTTAGCCTTATATTATTGTTCAAAGATAGGTAATCTGATGCCTCTGGCTTTGTTCTTTTTGCTTAGGATTGAATTGGTTATTTGGGATCTTTTTGGTTTCATATAAATTTTAGAATTTTTTATATATTTCTGTGAAAAATTATATTGGTAGTTTGATAGTCTCCATGTGGGTTCAAGCTCTGCCTGTGCAAGTTTCCAGGGTGGGTCTTCCTGCTATTTCAAAGTTCTATGAGAATTGTGAGAAATCCCATATCTAGAATCACAGAGGTCTGTGGTGGGAGTGCAGTATTGTGGGGTTCTTTCACTCACACCTTTCTTTGGTCTGGTTTGGAGCAGGAGGCCACTTCTGGTGCCTGGTGGCTAAGCAGGCTTCCCAGCTTCCTTCCCCTTCAATCACAGTATCTGTGTCATTTTTCTACCTCACATAATTATTTTTGAACCAGTCAGTAACTTTGCTGGCTTCTTCAGGCCAATGTAGCTTTGAGTAATTAAAAGCCCCTGAAGTTTAATCAGCTCAAAAGAATGCCAGTGCTGACAAAAGATGATTTTTAAACTGAAGTTTGCATTATTGCAGAATTTTGTAGCAAATTTACTAAACACAATTTTTTACGAAATGCAAATAAAGACAATGCCAATGCAATAGTTCTGCCTAACATGATGCAACTATCCTGGGTGTAACTGGAGACACACTTATTTCTCCACAGAATTTAGAATTTAGAATTTCAGCATTTGGAATTTTAATCTTTCAGGATTCTGATTTTTAGGATTTAAGACATTAGTAATTGTAGAATTTTAGGATTTAGAATTTAGAGACTTTGATCTTTCAGAATTTCAGCATTTGGGATTATGTTCTTCAGAATTCTGTCTTTTAAGACTGTGAATCACACACCTTAATGACATTAGATTTGGCAAGAATATATTAAAAACTCCTACAACTCAACAACCAAAACAAAGCATCTTGAATAAACATTTGGCAAAGGAATTGACTAAACATTTTCCCAAAATATACATAAATGACCAATAAGCACATAAAAATGGTGAAAACATTACTAATTATTAGAGAAACGCAAATCAAAACTACAATGAGATACCACCTCACACTCTTTAGGATAGCTATTATTTTTAAAAATCAGAAAATAACGGTGTTGGCCAGGATGTGGAGAAATTATAGCTCTTGGACACTGTTCGTGGAAATGTAAAATGTGCAGCTGCTATGAAGTACAGTACTGTAGTTCCTCAAATAATTAAAAATGGAAATACGAAATGATCCAGTACATCTGTGTATATACCCCAAAGTATTACAATCATGAACCTAAAGAGATATTTGTACATCAATATTTTTTAGAAACACTACTCACAGTAACCAAAAGGTGGAAGCAACCCAAATATCCATTGGCAGATGAAAGGATAAACAAAATGTAGTATATATATATATATATAATGAAATATTATTCAGCTTTAAAAATTAAGGGAATTCTGACACATACTACAGTGTGGATGAACTTCAAGAAAATTGTGCTGGGTAAAATAAGCCAGTAACAAAAGACACATTCTGATTTCACTTACTGAGTTACTTAGAGTAGCGAAATTCAG